>NW_003571055.2:0-195632 GCF_000001405.40 Homo sapiens
TGTCAGTTGCTTGGTGTGGTGAAGCAATGAGAGTGTTTTTTTCGGGGGAGGAGGTGTCAGATAGATCAAGAATTTATAATTAGCATAAGAAATGTACTTCTTAACAAAGCCAGCCTGGGCAACATAGTGAGATTCCCATCTCTACAAAAAAAAAAAAAAAAAAATTAGCCCAGTGTGGTGGTGCACACCTGTGGCCCCAGCTACTTGGGAGGCTGAGGCAGGAGGATTGCTTGAGCCTGGGAGGTCAAGGCTGCAGTGAGCTATGATTGTGCCACTGCACTCCAGTCTGTGTGACAGTGCAAGACCCTGTCTCAAAAAATAAAAAGAAAAAAAAAGAAACATACTAAAAAAGGACACATATTAGCAATATGAAACAAGAACAATTTTCCATAAAGCAAGAGGCTTATGGAAATAAAAAGTATAAAAATACATGATGGTAAAAAATATATAACATTATCCTCTAACAGAATAGGCAGTAGGGTGGGTGCCGTGGCTCACGCCTGTAATCCCAGCACTTTGAGAGGCTGAGGTGGGATGATCACTTGAGACCAGGAGTTCGAGACCAGTCTGGGCAACATGGTGAGACCGTGTCTCTTTAAAAAAAAAAAAAAAAAAGGCAGAATTGATACAGCTGAAGAAAAATGAACAAGTAAGAAAATGTGGTGGAGGAACTTCTCCAGGAAGCTGATATAATTATATTAAGATCAGAAAAAATAAGAGAAAAGTCATCGTACGATATAAGGGACAGGTGTTTCTCAAAATCCAAAATCTTCTCTGCTAAGAGAATCCTGATTTTGTTTTTGTTTTTGTTTCTTGAGATGCAGTCTTGCTCTGTCGCCCAGGCTAGAGTGCAGTGGTGCAATCTCAGCTCACTGCAAACTCCACCTCCCAGATTCAAGTGATTCTCCTGCCTCAGCCTCCCCAGTAGCTGGATTACAGGTGCTCGCCACCACACCCAGCTAATTTTTGAATTTTTAGTAGAGACGGGGTTTCACCATGTTGGTCAGGCTGGTCTCAAACTCCTGACCTCGTGATTCGCCCACCTCAGCCTCCCAAAGTGCTGGGATTACAGGCCTGAGCCACCGCACCCAGCCGAGAACCCTGATTTTGTTCAGGTGTCAGTTGGCCACCCTTGTTCCTTGGAGACTTGGCCCTTTTCTAGTTTCAGGCATGAATCTTGATTAGTCTAAGGCTTAGTGACGTGCTGGTTGTGAAAGTGTGGTCCCTGAACCAGCAGCGTCAGCATCACCTGGGAGCTCGTCAGAAAGGCAAATTCTTGAGCCCCACCCCAGACCTACTGAATCAGTCAGAAACTCTGAAGGTGAGCTTTTCCTTTCTCCTCCTCTCCAACCTATGGTTTGACAAGTCCTCCAGGTGATTCTGATGCACACTGAAGTTTAAACACCTTTAGCCCAGTTAGGTAAACTCACGCCCACTGCTAGTGGTTATTTAAGGAAGGGGCTGGATGCAATTGTGTTTCTTGAGATGTGAGTGGAAATCTCGTGGGAGGCTTCCTCATGTTGGAGAGGGCCGCGTTGGAAGGGCCTTTCTATGCCCTTCGTCTGCTTTTTATCTCATCCTTTCCAAAAAATTAACTTTTTATTTATTTATTTGAGACAGAGTCTTGCTCTTGTCGCCCAGGCTGGAGTGCAGTGGCGCGATCTCGGCTCACTGCAACCTCCACCTCCTGGGTTCAAGCAATTCTCCTGCCTCAGCCTCCCGAGTAGCTGGGGCTACAGGCACCTGCTACTATGCCCAGCTAATTTTTGTATTTTCCGTAGAGACAGGGCTTCACCATGTTGGCCAGGCTGGTCTCAAACTCCTGACCTCAAGTGATCTGCCCACCTCAGCCTCCCAAAGTGCTGGCATTACAGGAGCGAGCCACCTCACCTGGCTTAACTTTTTATTTTAAAATAGTTCTGGAGGCCAGGTGTGGCAGCTCACGCCTATAATCCCAGCACTTTGGGAGTCTGAGGCAGAAGGATCTCTTGAGCCCAGGTGTTCAAGACCAGCCTGGGCAACATGGCAAAATCCCATCTCTACAAAAAAGTTTTTAAAAATTAGCATTTGCCTGTGCGTCCAGCTTCTCAGGAAGCTGAGGCGGGAGGATCACTTGAGCTTAGGAGGTCAAGGCTGCAGTGAGACACCATACTGGGATTACAGGCGTGAGACACCACTCCAGGTCTGGGTTCTCTTTTTTTTTTTTTTTTTTTTTGAGACAGAGTCTCACTCTTTCGCCCAGGCTGCAATGAAGTGGCACCATCTTGGCTCACAGCAACCTCCACCCCGCAGATTCAAGCGATTCTCCTGCCTCAGCCTCCTGAGCAGCTGGGATTACAGGCGCCCGCCACCAAGCCTGGCTAATTTTTATATTTTAGAGATGCCCAGGCTGGAGTACAGTGGTGCGATCTCAGCTCAACACAACCTCCACCTCCCGGATTCAAGTGATTCTCCTGCCTCAGCCTCCCCATTAGCTGAGATTACAGGCATGCACCACCACGCCCGGCTAATTTTGTATTTTTAGTAGAGACAGGGTTTCTCTGTGTTGGTCAGGTTGGTCTCCAATTCCTGACCTCCGGTGATCTGCCTGCCTCGGCCTCCCAAAGTGCTGGGATTACGGGTGTGAGCCACTGTGCCCGGCTGATCTTACATTTTCTTGTGCACTTATTCATGAGCTTTTTTTTTTTTTATGAAAATGAATTCCTACCATCCATTCTCCTTCCAAACTGCTCATACCCAGTATTCCCAAGGTTTTTGCACATGTATATAACAGAATGTCAAAGTAGATTCATTGCAATCTCAGTTTCTGCTCAGGCCCAAAGATTATAGATGCCAGCGAGGTCAGATCTCACAGTAAGGCCATTTCTGCATGACTTCAGGAGAAAATGCTGAAAACCTAATTTCCCCACACCCTTGGCCTCTTGTCCACCTGAAGGTAAGAAAGGAGTGTTGGGGGGAAGGGGGAGGGATAGCATTAGGAGATATACCTAATGCTAAATGACGAGTTAGTGGGTGCAGCACACCAGCATGGCACATGTATACATATGTAACTAACCTGCACATTGTGCACATGTACCCTAAAACTTAAAGTATAATAATAATAAAATAAAATAAAAATAAATAAATAAATAAAAATTAAAAAAAGAAAAAAAAAAGAAAGGAGTGTTGAGATTAGAAGGTATTTTTTTTCCTATTGGGATACAGGTGGTGTTTGGTTGCATGAGTAAGTTCTTTAGTGGTGCTTTGTGAGATTGTGGTGTAGCCATCACCCAAGCAGTATACACTGCACCCCATTTATAGTCTTTTATCCCTCGCCCCCCTCTCACCTTTCCCCCCAAGTCCCCAAAGTCCATTGTATCATTCTTATGCCTTTGCATCCTCATAGTTTAGCTCCCACATATCAGTGAGAACATATGATGTTTGGTTTTCCATTCCTGAGTTACTTCACTTAGAATAATAGTCTCCAGAGATTAGAAGAGTTTTTGTTTTGTTTTGTTTCTGTGTGTTTGTTTACGTAAGCTGTTGGTGTGCTGTGAGTCCCATCCTCTGTCCACCGTAGATGTGTGATGGAGGATGACAGTCTCTTCAACTGGACAATTCAGAGTAGTTATATGGGGTGAGGGGCGGGTCCAGAGAGGAATGGGGTCTGATATGGTTTGGCTTTATGTCCCCACCCAAATCTCATCTTGAATTGTAATCCCCAGGTGTTGGGGGAGGAACCTGGTGGGAGGTGATTGAATCATGGAGGTGGCTTCTACCTTGTTGTTCTCATGATAAAGTGAGTTCTCAGGAGATCTGATGGTTTTATAAGCGTTTGGCAAGTTCCTCCTTTGCTTGCTCTTCTCTCTCTCTTGTTGCCTTGTGAAGAAGATATTTGCTTCTCCTTCCCCTTCTGCCATGACTGTAGTTTCCTGAGGCCACCCTAGCCATGTGGAATTGTAAGTCAATTAAATCTCTTTCTTTTTTTTTTGAGACTGAGCCCCCCTGTCATCCAGGCTGGTGTGCAGTGGTGCAATCTCAGCTCACTGCAACCTCCGCCTCCTGGGTTCAAGCGATTCTCCTGCCTCAGCCTACCGAGTAACTGGGACAACAGGCATGCGCCAATAGCCGGCTAATTTTGTATTTTTAGTAGAGGTGGCGTTCACCATGTTGACCAGGCTAGTCTCGAACTCCTAACCTCAAGTGATCCGCCCACCTCAGCCTCCCAAAGTGCTAAGATTACAGGTGTGAGCCACCACACACGGCCTCGGCTATTTATAGCAGTGTGAGAACGGGCTAACACAGGGTCTTTCCTCACTGGAGAGAGAGGGTGGGAGGAGAGAGAGAGGGTGGGAGGGGAGAGAGGGGAGAGGGGAGAAATGGGGGAGGGGGGGAGAGGGGGGAGAGAGAATGAATATGAGAATGAATGTACCAGGAGCTTTTATCCTTTGCAGGAGCGCCACCTGGAGGTAGGAGGTGAAGTCTGCAGAGAGAAGCTGGAAATGTACTGACGGATCCCCAAGGATTCAGTAATGTGACCAAGTGGAGGAGCTGCATTTACAGGCATCAAGGGAACTGCAGGTGAGAGGTCTGCAGCCTTGCAAGAGAGTGGGGGAAGCAGGAGAAGCTCCACGTGGGGAGATAAAGGAAAAGCTGACCACGCTTCCTCCACGTTGCAGGCAACCTGCCGAAAGGATTTTAATCACTGAGCTGACACTGTATTTTTTTCTTGTATGTGACTTTTTTAAGAAGCAGCTGGAAGTCTTTATGACCTAAGATGACTATAAAAATTATGAGAAGGCCGGGCGCAGTGGCTCACACCTGTAATCCTAGCACTTTGGGAGGCCAAGGTG
The DNA here is from genome assembly GCF_000001405.40 of Homo sapiens. NCBI lineage: Eukaryota > Metazoa > Chordata > Mammalia > Primates > Hominidae > Homo > Homo sapiens. The sequence continues at coordinate 4,833 of NW_003571055.2, forward strand.
GGCGGATCACTTAAGGTCAGGAGTTCGAGACCAGCCTGGCCAACATGGCGAAACCCTGTCTCTACTAAAAATACAAAAATTAGCTGGGCGTGGTAGCACATGCTTGTAATCCCAGCTGCTCGGGAGGCTGAGGCAGGAGAATCACTTGAACCTGGGAGGCAGAGGTTGCAGTGAACCATGACTGCACCATAGCACTCCAGGCTGGGCAACAGAGCAAGACTGTCTCAAAAAAAAAAAAAGTTATGAGACTTGCTTTACATGTCACCCAAGGGCACAGGTAAAGAATTAGACCTAGGAGTTGGGTTGATAGGGCAATGGGAAAAAAGAAAAAAATTGTTTACTGAATCAAGGGAATAATCACACCTACATCTTTGCAACTCACGTGCTTACAACTAGGGCAACCAAATTGTTCCGGTTCGCCCAGGATTTTCTCTGGTTTAGCCCTGAAATTTCTGTGTCCTGGGAAATTCCTCATTTCTATTTTAAAACCGAAAGTCCCACATCCTAAGACACACACACACGCCCCTGCACACACCAATCCTGGTAAAACGGTAACAGTTGGTCATACTATCTACAACAACCCTATTCGAGATCTGTGTCTTCACGATGAGGAAAGGCACATGCAGTTCTGGAGATTTTAACACGTGTTCCCAAGGTCACACAACCTGCCCTTGTATCCAGCACTGAAAGCAGATGACTCTCCTCTTTCCACGATTCTAAGCCTCTTCCCGTAGCATGTCCCATGTGGAGGAGAAAAGTTAAGAAAATGAAACTGGCCAAAACTTGCTACTGCATTTGTGATTTTAGAAAGTAAATGATCAGACATTATTAAAATTATCAATGCAAAAAGAAAGTGAGACTGAACAGATTGTTTACCTTAACAAGATCAAGTTAAACTCGTATAGGGCTTATATATAATGCCGCTTAAAAGCTCAAGTTTATGCGGGGCAGTTTTGGTGGAAGAAGCTCAGGCAGTCCCTCTGGTGGTCGTTATAGATCTGGCCGTGGAACTGGTGGATATGAAAACAGAAGGTTCTAAAAACAGCAGAAAAGGGCAACAGTTCTTAGCAGGAGAGACAGTGAGGAAAGCTGCAGGTTACTTGGAGACAGTCATCCCAAATGCATTAGAGGAGGTGTAAAAATCTGCCACAGAAGGAACAATGATCCATAGTCAGAAAAGTTACTGCAGCTTAAGCAGGAAACCCTTCTTGTTCAGGACTGTCATAGCCACAGTTTGCAAAAAGTGCAGCTATTGATTAATGTGATGTAGTGTCAATTAGAGGTACATCCCTGAGGTCTTTAAAACAAAACAAACTCAGCCAGGCACGGTGGCTCACACCTGTAATCCCAGTGCTTTGGGAAGCTGAGGCAGGCAGATCACCTGAGGCTGGGAGATTGAGACCAGCCTGGCTAACATGGTGAAACCCCGTCTCTACGAAAAATACAAAAATTAGCCCGGCATGGTGGTGGGCGCCTGTAATCCCAGCTACTCAGGAGGCTAAGGCAGGAGAATTGCTTGAACCCAGGAGGTGGAGGTTTCAGTGAGCCAAGATCGTGCCACTGCACTCCAGCCTGGGTGACAAGAGTGAAACTCCGTCTCAAAAAATAAATTAAATAAATAAATAATTAGCTGGACGTGGTGGCAGGCACCTGTAATCCCAGCTACTTGGGAGGCTGAGGCAGGAGAATCACTTGAGCCTGGGAGGTGGAGGTTGCAGTGACCAGAGATCGTGCCACTGAACGCCAGCCTGGGCAACAGAGCAAGATTCTGTCTCAAAAACAAAAACAAAAACAAAAAAAGGCTCAAGTTTATGAATGAACTGTTCATATCAGGTGATGGTCTTTCAAAATAATGACTGTTTTGTACCAACTATTGTGCTCATGTGATTGATTGAACAATGCTTCCAAAGAATTTGAAACAATAAGGCAAAGAAACCTAATGTTCATAACAGAAAAAAAAATTAAATGTATAGCACTAGAAAAATTGATTTTTTTTTTTTTGAGACAGGGTCTCACTCTGTCACCCAGGCTGGAGTGCAGTGGTGCAATGATGGCTCACTGCAGCCTCCACCTCCTGGGCTCCAGCGATCCTCCTGCCTCAGCCTCTAGAGTAGCCCGGACTACAAGCATGCACCACCATGCTCAGCTAATTTTTGTATTTTTAGTATAGACAGGGTTTTACCATTTTCCCCAGGCTGGTCTCGAACTCCTATGCTCAAGCAATCAACTTGCCTCAGCCTCCCAAAGTGCTGGGATTACAGGCATGAACCACAGAGCCTGGCATGATACTAGAAAAATTCTTTTTTTTTTTTTGACATTTAAGTTCAGGGGTACATGGGCAGGATGTGCAGGTTTGTTACACGGGTAAACGTGTGTCATGGGGGTTTGTTGTACAGATTATTTTTTTTCTAGTGTATTTACTACTTCCTGATTATCAGATTATTTTATCACCCAGTTATTAAGCCTAGTACCCACTAGTTATTTTTCCTGATCCTCTCTCTGCTACCACCCTCCACCCTCTGACAGGCCCCAGCATGTGTGAAAAATTCTTATAGTCTTCTAGAAAATACAATAGGTAGCCTTTGGAACATAGGGTATCATAAAGAGAAGCTGTAGAAAATATATTTCTTTGAATTTTTTTTTTTTTTTTTTTTTACAAATGATCACTATAATGTTTAAAATATGTTTACCACCTACAGTTGTGTGCTAGGGAAGCCATAACAAAATGCCCCCCACTGGGGGGCTTATGGGACAGAAATGGATTTTCTCACCGTTCTGCAGGCTGGAAATCCAAGATGGAGGTGCCAGTAGGGTCAGTTTCTCCCGGGGTCTCTCTGCTTTGTATGCAGATGGCCGCCTTCTTGCTGTGTCTCCACGTGGTCTTTCCTCTGGATGTACATATCCTGGTGTCCTTTTCTTTTTTTTTTTTTTGAGTTGGAGTCTTACTCTGTTGCCCAGCTGGAGTGCAATGACACGATCTCAGCTCACTGCAGCCTCTGCCTCCTGGATTCAAGCGATTCCCCTGCCTCAGCCTATCGAGTAGCTGGGATTACAGGCGTGCACCACCGCGCCCAGCTAATTTTTGTATTTTTAGTAGACATGGGGTTTGGCCATGTTGGCCAGGCTGGTCTTGAACTCCTGACCTCAGGCGATCCGCCCACCTGGGCTTCCCAAAGTGCTGAAATTACAGGCGTGAGCCACCACACGTAGCCCCTAGTGTCTTTTTTATGTCCAAATTTCCTTTTTTCACAACGGCCTCTTGTCTCTAAATACAGTCACATTCTGAGTTACTGGGAGTTAGGATTCAGCACACGAATTTTGAGGAGATGTAATTCAGCCCATAATTAAGCCCTATCCTCATCAGACTGATGATCTGTGCTTTCTCTGAACTAACAGGATTTATATATTCCTTTTTAACAGCAAGGAACTCAGGTTCTCCATGGCCCCTTTATGAAGTTGCTCCTGCTGGTACATGACCCTCAGTTAGTTTCCTGAAGTTATTTACAAAGCCACCTCCACATGTGTTGAGCCTCTTCAGTTTACTTCAAATCCTGGGCCTGTGCTGCATGGCGGTGCTTTCCACAGATTCATATGTTAGATCTTTTCTATTTTTTTTTCTGAGACAGAGTTTCCCTCTGTCGCCCAGGCTGGAGTGCAATGGTGTGATCTCGGCTCACTGCAACCTCTGCCTCCTGGGTTCAAGCAATTCTCCTGCCTCAGCCTCCTGAGTAGCAGGGACTACAGGCGTGTGCCACTATTCCCAGCTAATTTTTGTATTTTTAGTAGAGGCAGGGTTTCACCATATTGGCCAGGATGGTCTCGATCTCTTGACCCCATGATCCTCCCACTTTGACCTCCCAAAGTGTTGGGATTACAGGTGTGAGCTACCGCGCCTGGCCACATATTAAATCTTTTTTTTTTTTTTTTTTTTTGAGACAGAGTCTTGCTCTGTCACCCAGGCTGGAGTGCAATGATGGATCTCGGCTCACTGCAAGCTCCGCCTCCCAGGTTCATGCCATTTTCCTGCCTCAGCCTCCCGAGTAGCTGAGACTACAGGCACCCGCCACCACACCTGGCTAATTTTTTGTATTTATAGTAGAGATATGTTAGCCAGGATGGTCTCGATCTCCTGACCTCATGATCCACCCACCTCGGCCTCCCAAAGTGCTGGGATTACAGGCGTGAGCCACCGCGCCCGGCCTCATGTTAAATCTTGACACCCAATGTGATCTGAGAGGTTGGGCCTTTGGTGATGGCAGCAGCCACTCCAGACGGCTTGCTGCTGCCATGACGCCACCTGCCCCAGGGAGGCCCAGCCCGGGCTATACACGCTATGGAGCCGCAGGGAGCCCTGCCCCTTCCGAGTTGGGGCGGGAGCTCCCAGGGTGATGCTACAGCTGTCCAAACCCCAGCTGTGGATCCGAGCCTCCCTCAGATCGTATCACATATCAAGACTTACTCTTGTTGACAAAAAGAGTCAAACTCTATAAAATATTTGAAGAGATTTATTCTGAGCCAAATATGATAATGACCATGGCCCCTGACACAGCCCTAAGGAGGTCCTGAGACCATGTACCCAAGGTGGTCGGGGGGCAGCTTGGTTTTATACATTTTAGGGAGGCGTGAGGCATCAATCAAACACATTTGAGAAATACATTGGTTTGGTCCAGAAAGGCTGGACAATTTGAAGGAGGCAGGGCCTTCCAGGCTTTAGGTAAATTAAAACATTTTCTGGTTGACAATTGGTTGAGTTTGTCTAAAGACCTGGGATTAATAGAGAGGAAATATTCAGGTTAAGATAAAAGATTGTGGAGACCAAGGTTCTTTTGAAGTCTTATAGTGGCTGCCCTTAGAGACAATAGATGACAAATGTTTCCTACTCAGACCTTCAAAAGTTGCTAGATTCTCAGTTAACCTCCTCAGGATTGGGAGGTCCTGGAGGAAAAAGATCTAGCAATGTTAACAGAGATCCTTTACATATGCAAATATTCCCCCCCACCAAGGACAGCTTTGCAGGGCCATTTAAAAATATGGCAAAGAAACATGTTTTGGGGTAAAATATTTTTATTTTCTTCTTTGTTAGGTAATGTTATGCCAGAGTCAGATTGGAAAGTAAGTCACGATATATAGGGCTAAATAAAACCCATCTGATGAGAATTTATGGTTTGTAGGGCATGAGACCCCAGACCCCTTAGATAAGAATCTGGGCAAGATAAAAAAAAAAAATCAGAGCTGAGTCCTCACTATGGTAATTCAGTGAGTGTGACTACCAGCATAGATGTCCATAAAGGATATCCATTAGGGCCACCCATTTTAATAATGTTTGCCAGGACCCTTCAATCAAAACAAAATCCATTCTCAGAATAGCTTAGAATCAAAGGAGGACTTTTTGGGTTTTTTTGGTTCAAGAAGGATTGGGCAAGAAAACTGCAGGGAGTGAAGGAATGCTGAGCTTTGGAAGCAATTAGAACCAAGAAAACAAAAGCTGAAAGCACTGTTACTCACTCCCGCTTCCCGGATGCTCCCTGAGTCATCTTTGTGTTTCTCCATAAAGACTGGCTTCCTCCACATGGCGAGACAGATGGCCACCAAGAACTCCCAAGCTTAAAAAAGAATGACTCTCTGTGGCAAGAAAACAAAGAGACACTCCTCCCCACCTTGCTACTCCCTATGTGGCCTCCACACTGCAACCTGGGACTGTGTAGTGAGGGGAGGGGGAGCGAAGAAGTTTGCGTTAGTCTGTTTTCACACTGCTGATAAAGACATACCTGAGACTGAGTAATTTATTTTTATTTTTATTTTTATTTATTTATTTTTTTGAGACGCACTCTGTCACCCAGGCTGGAGTGCAGTGGCACGATCTCCGCTCACTGCAAGCTCCGCCTCCCGGGGTCACACCATTCTCCTGCCTCAGCCTCCTGAGTAGCTGGGACTACAGGCGCCCGCCACCGCGCCCGGCTAATTTTTTGTATTTTTAGTAGAGACGGGGTTTCACTGTGTTATCCAGGATGGTCTCGATCTCCTGACCTCATGATCCACCCGCCTCGGCCTCCCAGAGTGCTGGGATTACAGGCGTGAGCCACTGCGCCCAGTCAGTTTACTTTTTAAAAAAGAGGTATAACGGACTTACAGTTCCACATGGCTGGGGAGGCCTCACAATCATGGCAGAAGGTGAAAGGCACATCTTACATGGTGGCAGACGACAGAGAAATGAGAGAGCCAAGCAAAAGGGGAAACCCGTTATAAAAACCTCAGCTCTCCTGAGACTTGTTCACTACCATGAGAACGGCATGGGGGAATGTGTGGGTGGAGGATTAGCCAGGTGCTGAGGCAAGAGACTGAAGGCACAAACTGTTGCAGTATAATAAAGAAAATAGAATAAGAATAGTCATAATACAAATTAGATGTAGAGATGATCATGGACAATTATCAATCATTATTATAAACATTATTAATCATTAGCTTTTAATATTACTCTTTGCTGCATTACTAATATAACCTAGGAATAACCGGCGGGTATAGGGTCAGGTGCTGAAGGGACATGGTGAGAAGTGACCTAGAAGGCAAGAGGTGAGCCCTCTGTCACGCGTGCATCAGGGCCGCTTGAGGGGTCCTTGGTCAAGCGGTAACGCCAGTGTCTGGGAAGGCACCCGTTACTTAGCAGACGGTGAAAGGGAGTCTCCTTTCCTTGGAGGAGTCAGGGAACACTCTGCTCCACCAGCTTCTTGTGGAAGGCTGGATATTATCCAGGCCTGCCCGCAGTCATCCGGAGGCCTAAACCCCTCCCTGTGGTGCTGTGCTTCAGTGCTCACACTCCTTGTCCACTTTCATGCTCCTCCCGTACTCCTGGCTCCTCTTTGAAGTTCATAGTAGATAGCGGTAGAAGAAATAGTGAAAGTCTTAAAGTCTTTGATCTTTCTTATAAGTGCATGGAAGAAAACGCTGACGTATGCTGCCTTCTCCCTCTCTCTCTGCTTCGGCTACCTAAGAGGGAAGGGCCCCCTCTCCTGTGATCACACGACTTGCTTCACCTTGTCAATCACTTCGAAGATTCACCCTGCTTACCCTGCCCCCTTATCTTGTATGCAATAAGTATCAGCGCGCCCAGCCGTTATGGGCCACTACCGGTCTCCGCGTCTTGATGGTTGTGGTCCTCCGGGCCCAGCTGTTTTCTCTTTATCTCTTTGTCTTGTGTCTTTATTTCTTACAATCTCTTATCTCTGCACACGGGGAGAACACCTGCAAAGCCCCATAGGACCCTGCAGGAATCCACCCCCATGATTGAATTATCTCCCACTGGGTCCATCCCACAACACATGGGAATTATGGGAGCTACAACTGAAGATGAGATTTGGGTGGGGACACAGACACAAGCCATATATCAAGGTTGTTCCTTCAGATGCAGCAATCCTGGGAGCTTCTGGTTAGGACAAGATACAAGCAGAGACAGCTTCATGGGTATTGTAAACTCAATGTTTGTGTCCCGACAAAATTCAGCTGTTGGAACCTAACCCCAAGGTGATGGTATTTGTAATACGGGAGCTAAAAAGAAATTATTGAGGCAGACAGTGAGGGTAAGAGAGTCCTCAGTAAGGTTTCCTATTAATAAAGAGCAGCCCCCAAATAATTTCTTTTCTAACAGAAAGCAGCCTGAAACATCAAGCTGCAAGCATAGATAAACAAGCTAAAATCTTGCATCAGCTGTGCCAATAGAAAACGGATGCCTGGGAGCCGGGTATATTCAACATGGAGGTTCCCTCTTCCCTTTTCTTTGTCCCCACATGTGCAGTAAAAAAGCAGACAACATGGCCCCGGCCAGGCAGAGACCCTACCTACGTAATAAAAGATTAGGGTGGGATGGCCAGCTTCTTTGGGGGCTATGCAAACGTCATACCTGGTCCGACTAATCTCTCAGGCCCTATGTAAATCAGACAGCACCTCCTCAAGCTTGTCTATAAAAGCCCCATGCATTTCACCACAAAACCAGGGGTCCCACTCGGGAACCCCTCTCTTCTCTGTGCAAAAGAGAGAACTATTCTCTTTTCTCTTTCTTTTGCTTATTAAGCCTTCACTCTTTTTTTTTTTTTTTTTTTTGAGATGGAGTCTGGCTCTGTCATTCAGGCTGGAGTGCAGTGGCACGATTTCGGCTCACTTCAACCTCCGCCTCCCAGGTGCAAGCAATTCTCCTGCCTCAGCCTCCCAAGTAGCTGGGATGACAGGCACCCACCACTGCGCCCAGCTAATTTTTATATTTTTAGTAGAGATGGGGTTTCACCGTGTTGGTCAGGCTGGTTTCGAACTCCTGATCTCAGGTGATCCGCCCCCCACTCGGTCTCCCAAAGTCCTGAGATTACAGGCGTGAGCCACTGCGCCCGGCCCAGTCTCTTTCACTATGTAAGGACACAGCAAGAAGGTGCCAGCTATGAACCAGGAAAAAAGCCCTCAGCAGACACTGAATCTACCAGTGCTTTGGTCTTGGACTTCCAGCCTCCAGAACCATGAGAAATAACTATGTGTTGTCTGTAAGCTGCCAGGTCTTTGGTATGTTGATAGCAGCCTGGATGGACTAAGACACTCTCTCCTTCCCTCTCATGCCCTGGACCCTCATCAGGGCCAGAAGTGGTTGGGGTGATGGCCCAAGCAGACTTTAAAAAGCACTGGCCTAGCACAAGGGTTGGCACGCTAGAGCCCACAGCTTGTTTTTGCAAATAAAATTTTTTGTTTTTAAAACAACTTTCTGGGCTGGGCACGGTGGCTCACGCCTGTAATCCCAGCACTATGGGAAGCCGAGGCAGGCGGATGACTTGAGGTCAGGAGCTCAAGACCAGCCTGGCCAACATGGTGAAACCCCATCTCTACTAAAAATACAAAAAAATTAGCCTGGTGTGATGGCAGAAGCTTGTAATCCCAGCTACTCAGGAGGCTGAGACAGGAGAATCATTTGAACCTGCGGGGAGAGGTTGCAGCGAGCTGAGATCACGCCACTGCACTCTGGCGCCTGGGCGACAGAGCAAGACTCCATCAAAAAAAAAAAAACTTTCTATAGATACATAATATTTATGCATATTTATGACATACATGTGATAGTTTGATACATGCACAGAATGTATAATACTCAAATTAGGGTATTTAGGATATTCACCACCTCAAACATTTATCTTTTTTTTTATCTTTTCGAGACAGAGTCTCTCTCTGTCGCCCAGGCTGGAGTACAGTGGTGTGATCTTGGCTCACTGCAACCTCTGCCTCCCGAGTTCAAGCAATTCTTCTGCCTCAGCCTCCCAAGTGGCTGGGATTACAGGTGTGCGCCACCACACCCAGCTAATTTTTGTATTTTTAGTGGAGATGGGGTTTCACCTTGTTGGCCAGGCTGGTCTTGAACTCCTGACCTCAGGTGATCCACCCATCTTGGCCTCTCAAAGTGTTGGGATTACAGGAGTGAGCCACTGCACCTGGCTCATTTATCGTTTGTGTTGGGAATGTTTCAAATCTTCTCTTCTAGCTATTTTGAAATATACAATATATTGCTGTTAACTATAGTCACCCTTCTGTGCTATTGAACACTTGAACTTATTCCTTCTATCCAACTGTGTTTGTGCCCATTAACTATCCCACCCCTTCTAGCCTTTGATAACTGACTCTCTCTTTACCTTCATGAGATCTACTTTTTTAGCTCCTACATGAGTGAGAACATGAAGTTGTAAATAAAGTTTTATTCTAACACCGCCACACCTACTTGTTTACATATCAGCGATGGCTGCTTTCATGGTACAACAGCAGAGTGGGGTAGTCTCAGCAGAGATCCTACAGCCCACAAAGCTGGACGTGTTACTCTCTGGTCCTTTTGTTTTCTGCCCTCTGGTCTAGGAGTTTGCAGCTCTGGGCGTTTTTTGTTTTTTTTTTTTTTTTTTTTTGAGATGGAGTCTCACTCCATTGCCCAGGCTGGAATTCAATGGCGCCATCTCAGCTCACTGCAATCTCTGCCTCCTGGGTTCAAGCGATTCTTCTGCCTCAGTCTCCCAAGTAGCGGGGATTACAGGCGCCTGCCACCACGTCCAACTAATTTTTTATTTTTAGTAGAGATGGGATTTCACCATGTTGGTCAGGCTGGTCTTGAACTCTGACCTCAGATGATCCACCCACCTCGGCCTCCCAAAGTGCTGGGATGACAGGCGTGAGCCCGGCCGTTTTCTTTTTTGCTTGTTGTGCTTCCTGGAGATGCTCAGTAATTCTTACATTCTTTCCTGGATAGCTGGTCAATCATTATTTATTATTTCCTTGAATTGTTCTAGGAGGAAATGTGGGGTAGAAAGAGTATGGTGGGGTTCTTGGGCATGAATAATCCATAAATAAGTCAGATTTCTTTTTAAGACGAGAAACTTAATTTTATTGATATGGACGAAGAGCAAGGAAACACAGTATCTGCATCTCCAGATTTCCGATAACCTTGGCCAGCACGATCCCCCCTCCTTTAGTGGCCAGGGCTGTCTTCTTGCTACACTTTCAGTGCCGCATATTCATGAGATCCTGGGGGCTCCTGGGTGGTGTCTGAAGCTGCCTCAGACAGGGCGCTGGTGCTTAGCTCAGCATAGGTCACTCCTTGGGGGTCTGCCGTCTTTGGAGAAAATAGATGAATATTAGAACTGAGTGTTCAATATGGCAGCCACTAGCCACACATGGCTATTGACATTTAAGTTAATTACAATTAAATTTAATTTAAAACCCAGGTCCTCGGTCACACCAGATGCATTTCTTTTTCTTTTCTGTTTTTATAACCCTTTATGCCTGTGACATCAATGGATCTGCGTAAGCCTTTTTTCATTTTTTTTAAATTTTTATTTATTTATTTATTTTGGGACAGAGTCTGGCTCTGTCGCCCAGGCTGGAGTGCGGTGGCGTGATCTCGGCTCACTGCAACCTCCGCCTCCCGGGTTCAAGCCATTCTCCTGGCTCAGCCTCCTGAGTAGCTGGGATTACAGGCGCCCACTACCACGCCCAGCTAATTTTTTGTATCTTTAGTAGAGATGGGGTTTCACCATGTTAACCAGGATGGTCTCGATCTCCTGACCTCATGATCCGCCCGCCTCGGCCTCCCAAAGTGCTGGGATTACAGGCGTGAGCCACCGCGCCCGGCCCATGCATAAGCCTTTTAAATGGAGATTTTGGTTCCCATTAGGGGAGTTTCGTGACTTGTCTAAGACCACATGCGTGATAAACAGTATACATTTCTGTATGGGCTTAACCAGGAGGCACACACGACCAGCCCATTGTGGTGAGGGAGCTCTTGTGGGACTCCTAAGCGGGAGGACTCACCGAGAGAGATACCCTTTCCATATTGGATAAATCTGCCTCTGAGTGAGAAAGGAAAAAAAAAAATCAGTTCTCAGCTGCAGAAGTCAGAACTTAGTCTTTCTATCCGGTGATTCCCTTAAACTTCCCCTGTCCCTTACCGGCAGCCTCCTGCTCCGGAAGTTTGGAATGGCTGGTTCTGAAAGAGAGAGACACACGTGAAAGGATGGGATGTGAAGATTTCGGGGAGAGGGTGAGGGCAATGGAGGGGAGAGGAAGGGAGAAGAAGGGAGAGGAGGAAGGTCACAGAATGGGCTGGGGTGGGGGCTCAGGGTGCCAATCCCGGATGTGCCAATGGGTTCCCTTGAGAATGACATGGGAATAAGTGGAGCATGAGCTATGCCAAGCATCTACCTCTTGGTGGATTCCTCAGATGATGAACCTACAAAAAATGCAGGAGGAATTTACCTACCGAGAAAATCCTTCACTCCCCCTCTCTCCCTTTGCGTTCTCTGAGCTCACTGTGCTGGCTGCATCTGTAGATGATGAAGACTGAGAGGAAGAGGAGAAGGATGGAGATGCAGCTGAAGATGGCGACAAAGATGGTTCTGGTGTCTGGAGGGGGAAGAGCAGGTCAGGGAATCAGCCTGGCTCCTGAAATCCACTGATAGGGGCGAGCCGAAAAGCTAAGAGAAGCCAGACAGATGGCCTGGCTTCCAAGCCTGGATCTCCCACCTCGGAGCTGGAACTTCCTATTGCTTTGGGGAATTTCCTTAATCTTCTCCAAGCTTCTGTTTCCCCATCTGTAAAGTGAGGATAGCAGCAGTAGCTACTTTATTGGATGGTGGGTCAGTACCTATAGAAAGGGCTGGAACAGTGCTTGGCGCATAGGAAATTCCAAAAATTCCCAGGGAATGTTTGGTGCATAGCAATGATATTGATCATTTATTGTGAGCCAGCTCTGTTCCAGGTGCTCCATATATATATATACGTGTGTGTGTGTGTATATATATATATAAATGTATATATATGTGTGTGTATATATAAATGTGTATATATATATATATATATATATATATATATACATATATATATATATATACACACTTTTTTTTTTTTGAGATGGAGTCGTGTTCTGTCACCCAGGCTGGAGTGTGATCCTGGCTCACTGCAACCTCCACCTCCCTGGTTCAAACAATTCTCCTGACTCAGCCTCCTGAGTAGTTGGGATTACAGGCGTGAGCCACCACATCTGTCTGTGTAATCACTGTCTGAAATCCACTGATGGGGTGAGTAGAAAAGCTAAGAGAAGCCAGACAGATGGCCTGGCTTCCAAGCCTGGATCTCCCACCTTGGAGCTGGAACTTCCTTGGAGCTGGACATTTCGACCAATAGACTTTGAGTAAAGCAGATGACCCACTGTCATAGGGGTGGGCCTCATCCAATCAGTTGAAGACTTTAAGACTTTAAGAGAAAAGACTGAGGTCCCCCAAGGTGGAAGGAATTCTGCCTCCAGACTCAAGCTGCAATATCAAGTCTCCCCTGGATCCCCTGCCTGCCTGCCCTGCAGATTTCAGACTTGCCAGCTCCCCACAATCACGTGAACCAATCCATTAAAATCAATCTCTCTCTCCATATATGTATATACATGTATATGTTCTCTTTTTTTTTTTTGAGACAAAGTCTCACTCTTATCGTCCAGGCTGGAGTGCAATAGTGCAATCTTGGCTCACTGCAAGCTCCGCCTCCCGGGTTCAAGCAATTCTCCTGCCTTAGCCTCCTGAGTAGCTGGGATTACAGGTGCCCACCATCACGCCCGGCTAATTTTTGTATTTTTAGTAGAGACGGGGTTTCGCCATGTTGGCCACGCTGGTCTTGAACTACTGACCTCAGGCAATCTGCCTGCCTCGGCCTCCCAAAGTGCTGGGATTACAGGCGTGAGCCACCACACCCAGCTTATATCTATATGTTCTATTGGTTCTGTTTTTCTGGAAAACCCTGGCTAACACAGACATGATCTCAGCTCTTAACTTCAAACATATTTCCTTTTTCTTTTTTTAAAGGAGAGAGAGAGATGTGAAAGGACGGGATGTGAAGATTATGGGGAGAGGGTGAGGGCAATGGAGGGGAGAGGAGGGGAGAGGAGGGAGGTCACAGATGGGAGCTCAGGATGCCAATCCCAGATGTGCCAATGGGTTCCCATTGTTGCCCAGGCTAGAGTGCAGTGGTGTGATCATACTCGAATTCCTGGGCTCAAGTGGTCCTCCTCACTCGGCCTCCAGGGTAGCTGGGAGTACAGACCACCACGCCCAGCCAACTTCAAACACACTTCAATGAGCTCGTTGATGCCAGGTAATGAACAGCAGTGACACGGGCATGGAAGGCGTTTAGAGTGGGGAGGGGTGGGGCTCTCTGAAGGAGACATGATTCCCCAAGACACAGAACAAGGGATCAGCTGGGAGAATTCAGGGAGGATTCCTAATAAGAACAGGGTTAGAGCAGGGTAGAAAAGAATGACCAGTGGCCGGGCACGGTGGCTCACGCCTGTAATCCTGGCACTTTGGGAGAGTGAAGTAGGTGGATCACTTGAGGTCTGGAGTTCGAGACCAGCCTGGCCAACATGGTGAAACCCTGTCTCTACTGAAAATATAAAAAATAAGCTGGGCATGGTGGCGCACGCCTGTAGTCCCAGCTACTCAGGAGGCTGAGAGAAGAGAATTGCTTGAACCTGGGAGGCGGAGGTTGCAGTGAGCCGAGATCGCATCACTGCATCATACACTCAACTGACCAAGACTCCAACTCAAAAAAGCATCCCTCTCAGGAGATAAAATTTCTACCAATTAAAAAACAAAAACAAAACAAAACAAAAAAAACTAGTTCTTGAGCAATATTGCCATGCAAGTCTACATCATAGCGTTTTAAAGTCTTAACAACAACCCTGCAAGGTAGTACAATTATTTCCCTCCCACTGGTGAAGGGCATGCATTCCCGTGTGACTCCTGGGATTACAGCAAGGGTTGTGTCCAAAGCTCACAGCGTTGAGGAAGAGAGAGCAACCTGTTACTAAAGCTAGGCGACAGAGTCCATGCAGTTCCCCCCCGTTTTTTGTTTTTCTTGGCACTTTAGATTCAAGAAACACAAGTCGTGAGACTTTAAGGAGTAAGTAGCAGAAACGTGATTAAGGAAAAAAGTTGAGCAACTATAGAAGTGAGGCCCCAGAAAGGGGCTTCACCAAGACCCCCGCTATCTTTGTTAGTGTGCTTTGAGTCTGAGAATTTTTCCTAGGTGTGCAATGATCTGTGGTCACATTACAGAGCCAAGTCTGAGATGCTTCACACGCCTGGTCCTCTGCACCAACAGAGGGTCTCCCATCCAGACGCTTCCCCTACTTGGTTCGCTATGTTTGCATTGGCATTTCTACATATCTATATATAGAGAATTACCTATCTAATTTATCTATCTCGCTAATCTATCTACCATCTGTCTAGGTATCTATTATCTATCTACCTATCTATCTTTATCTGTCTCTGTACCTACTTACCTATCATCTATCCAATCTATCCGTCCTATCTAATTATGATTTATCTATCTACCTACTTGCCTATCACCTATCCAATCTATCTATCCTATCATATGTAATTAACTATCTGTCTGTCTAATTTTTCTATCTTGTTAATCTATCACTTATCTAGGCATCTATGTATCTATCTTTATCTGTCTATCCACCTGCTTACCTGCTGTCTGTCTAATCTATCCATCCTATCATATCTAATTATCACTTATCTATCTACCGACTTACCTATCATCTAGTTACCAAATCTATCATCTATCTAATGTATCTATCAATCATAACCAGTTATCTATCATCTATCATCTATCATCTGTATGTATCTGTCTATTCACCTACTATTATCTATTTAATCTATTCTATCTAGTTATCTATCTATCTATCCACCTACTTATCTAATTTTTCTATCTTGCAACTCTATCACCTATCTAGGTATCTATGTATCTATCTGTGTATCTGTATATCTATCTATCTATCTAGCTAGCTTTATCTAGCTACCTAGTTACCTATCATCTATCTATCTAATCTATCATCTATCTAATGTATCTATCAATCATATCTAATTATCTGTCTATCTAATCATCTATCTTATCTATTATATCTAGTTATCTATCATCTAGCTAGCTAGCTAATCTATCTGTATCTATCTACCTACTTACCTATCGTCTATTTATCTATCTAATCTATCATATCTAGTTATCTATCTACTTACTTATCTAACCTGTTGTATCTAGTTATCTATCTACCTACTTACCTATCATCTGTCTATCTATCTAATCTGTCCATCGTATCTAGCTACTTATCTACCTATCATCTATGTATCTATCTAATCTATCATATCTAGTTATCTATTTATCTGCCTACTTGCCTATTATCTATCACATCTAATTATCTATCTATCCCCCTCCCTGAAATAAGGTTCTTTCTGAGCTGATCATCAGGGAGCAGCAAAAGGAGTGGGGAGTTTGAAACAAGACATATTTGAGTTCTAGTACTGGGTCTCCTACCTCCTGACTTTGTAAATGTTCCCTTCCCTTTCTGGAATACGTTATTTTTTGGTTAAATATAAGGAGGGGGCAGAGAGCTAATAATATCTAACTTGAAGAGTTAGGTAATGATGAAAAATCCTGGCTTTAAAGCGCTCAGTCTAGAAACTGACTCATTGTGTCGGATAATGGGATTGTAGGTATAATGATGATTTTTTTTCACCCAATATTCCACCTACACCCATCTCTCTCTGTAATAGATTCTGTCAATGTTCCTCAACCCATGTTCCCCAGATCCCTTTCCCATTTTTATGCATTCTAGATCGTGGCTTCTTTCCCTTTCCAAAGTGAACATTTGTATCTCTTCTTTGGGGGACTGCCTGGGAGAACTCCAAATGCCTTGGAATTTACATGCCCGGGACAAACTGCCACTGACGGCTGTGGGGACCCCAGCTCCCTAGCCTCTGGTCTTCGACCTTCTCTGTCTCCACTGCTTTCTGCAGGATGGAGCCAAAGATACCATCTGAGGGACACAGATATCCCACACTTGTTTAATCTATTTTCCTCCCAGCCCTTCTTCCCCACTCCCTAAAATGTAATTTTCAAGCCAGGCGTGGTGGCTCACACCTGTAATCCCAGCACTTTGGGAGGTCGAGGCAGGCAGAGCACCTGAGGTCAGGAGTTCGAGACCAGCCTGACCAACATGGAGAAACCCCGTCTCTACTAAAAATAGAATATTAGCTGGGTGTGGTGGTGCATGCCTGTAATCCCAGCTATTTGGGAGGCTGAGGCAGGAGAATCTCTTGAACCTGGTAGGCGGAGGTTGCAGTGAGCCAAGATCACGCCATTGCACTCCAGCCTGGGCAACAAGAGCGAAACTCTGTCTCAAAACTAAATAAATAATAAATAAAATAAAACGTCACTTTCACACTAATGCTGTCTAAGAGCCTGCTTCTGGTGGAGCTGAATCAGAGAACCCCTCAAAAGCAACAATTTTTTTTTTTTTGAGACAGTCTCACTCTGTCTCCCAGGCTGGAGTGCAGTGGTACAATCTCGGCTTTGGAACCTCCCCCTCTGGGGTTCAAGCAATTCTCCTGCCTCAGCCTCCCAAGGAGCTGGGATTACAAGCACCCGCCACCTCACCCCGCTAATTTTTTATATTTCTAGTAGAGATGAGGTTTCACCATGTTGGTTAGGCTGGTCTCAAACTCCAGAGCTCAAGTGTTCTGCCCACTTTGGCCTCCCAAAGTGCTGGGATTACATAAGCCACCATGCCTGGCCATAAGCAACAATTCTATCAGTGCATCTCCAAGGACTTATGAAAACAGGGCAGGAACAGCTGCTCCTGGACTCTCAGTTTCCCCAGATGGAAGCAGAGAAACAGCAGCCTTGCCTTGTCCTTTCTGTTCTCCCCTTTTCCAGCCTACGGTATCTTTCACACAGCAATTCACTAGAAATGAGAAGTACATTATTGCAAAATTCTCATCTTCATATGACCCCATAATCAGCTGAACTGGGTTCACCCTGAGATGTCCACAGATCCTGGCCAAATGTTGCATCAGTATTTGCAAATTGCCAGAATAAATCATAACTTGCTACGCTACTAAAGTCAGCGTGAGCAACAAGATACAGCCTGACACGGGGCATAAATGGAGGCACAGGCACCAGAAAGAAAGTCAAGTCTTGTGTGATAAAATTCATCTTCATTCTCTACATTGCGATTGAACATAGAGTCGTTTTCTAGTGTGTTTTAGGCATATAAATACAGGCTGGGGACATCATACCTGTGCTTACAGATATTTTACTTTTATTTTATTTATTTACTGAAACAGGGTCTCGCTCTGTCACCCAGGCTGGAGTGCTGTGGCGCAATCACAGTTCACTGAAGCCTCAACCTCCTGGGCGCAAACGATCTTTCTGCCTGAGCCTCCCAAGTAGCTGGGACTACAGGTGCACACCACCACGCCTGGCTAATTTTTGTATTTTTTGTAGAGATGGGATCTTACCAAGTTGTCCAGGCTGGTCTTGAACCCCTGGGCTCAAGTGATCCTCCTGCCTCATCTTCCCAAAGTCCTGGTATTACAGACGTGAGCCACTGCGCCCGGCAAAGATATTTTATTCTGTTTAGAATTGTGATGATACAAATTTGAACTCAAAAAGTACATTTTAAGAAATTATATAATACCCACTGGGATGGCTATAATTTAAAAAAAGAAAAGTAAGTGTTGACAAGGATGTGGAGATATTGGAACCCACATATATTACTGGAAGGAATATAACATGATACAGCCACAATGGAAAATGATTTGGCAGTTCCTCAAAAAGTTGAACATAATAGTCACCATATGTCCTAGCAAATCCACTTCTAGGTACATACTCAAGATAATTTACAGCGCGGAGACAAACAGATACTCCTACCACAGTGTTCCAGCACCATTACTCGCTTTAGCCAAGAGGTGCAGACAACACAAATGTCCATCAAAAGAAGAACGGGGCCAGGCACAGTAGCTCAAGTCTGTAATCCCAGCACTTTGGGAAGCTGAGGCGTGTGGATCACCTGAGGTCAGGAGTTCGAGACCAGCCTAGCCAACATGGTGAAACCCCCTCTCTACTAAAAATACACAAATTAGCTAGGCATGGTGACGGGCGCCTGTAGGTCCAGCTACTCAGGAGGTTAAGGCAAAAGAATCACTTAAACCTGGGAGGCGGAGGTTGCAGTGAGCTGAGATTGTGCCACTGCACTCCAGCCTGGGCGACAGAGCAAGACTCCGTCTCAAAAAAACAAAAACAAAAACAAAAAAAAGAATGGATAAGCAAAATGTGGTCTATCCATACAATACGATGCTTTTCACCATGACAAGAAATGAAACATTGATGCATGCTACAGTACAGACAAACTTTGAAAACATTATGCTAAAGAGAAAGGAGCTAGTCACAAAGGATCACATAGTGTATGAATCCACTTACACAAAATGTCCAGAATAGACAAAATCATAGACACAGAGAAGCATATGAATGGTTGGAAGGGCCTGGTGGGAAAGTGGGAAATGAGGAGTGACTGCTTAATGGGTACAAGATTTTCTTTTAGGGTGATGAGAATGTTCTGGAATTATGTAGTGGTGATGGTTATACTACCTCATGAAGATACAAAATGCCAGTGAATTGGACACTTTACAAGGGTGAATTTTTGGACTGTGAATTATATATCAATAAAAAAAGAAAGAAAATAAATGATACAAGAGCTCAAAATAGAAAAGCTTCTCTTCCTCCTCCCCCTCACACCTCACTAGATCTCCCACCTCGTTTCTGATACTTCTGTGTTCCTCTCTCCCATTAGATTTCATATCTTTCTCAGAAAACGTTCCTGACGTGAATTGTGTTCGTAGTGCTAGGGTAGCAGACATTTCCCAAGCCTACTATCATGGAATAAAAACGTTTCAAATAGTTATCTTGCAAGAACACTTTGGAGGATACCTTTTTGAAAACCGATTATACCAGCACAGACTGCTAGCAACAACCTTCAGCAACTTTGGCTCTTTGGAGTAGGTTGCAGGAAGATTATGACTTGCTGAAAGGAAGGATGATTAAGCATCTAGATGCCAATTTATATTCTGCATTTGGCCCTTAAAGTCTGGATGAGTTCCTGTTTCAGCCGAATGCTGCCAAAAGCTCTAACTTTTTAATTTTTTTTTTTTTTTTTTTTTTTTGGAGACAGAGTCTCACTCTGTTGCCCAGGCTGGAGGGCAGTGGTGTAATCTCGGCTCACTGCAACCTCTGCCTCCCAGGTTCAAGCAATTCTCCTGCCTCAGTCACTTGAGTAGCTGGGAATACAGGCGCCCACCACAATGCCCAGCAAATTTTTGTATTTTTAGTAGAGACAGGGTTTCACCATGTTGCCCAGGCTGGTTTCGAACTCCTGACCTCAGGTGATCCGCCCACCTCGGCCTCCCAAAGTGCTGGGATTACAGATGTGAGCCACCTCGCCTGGCCCAAAAGCTCTAATTTTTATGAGAAACTCTGAGGACAGAATCTTAGTCAATTGTTAATGAATAAGCAACATTAGAAAAAAAATTCAATATTCACCTATTTTTGAGAATTTTAGAGTTATAACAAACTCTTGATTATATATATTCCTGAAGTACCTACTCTGCGTAGGTCCTGGTCCTACTCCCCAAATGGGTCACTGAAAAATTCACCCCCATTATTCCCCAAATCCCACCCTAGTTTTTCATCATGTCATATGGCAAACAACGCACTCTGTGCTGTTTTACACACCAGCTTCTTCAGAACCCGGAAGCACTTTAGAGGTTATCTCCCCTCATCCTCCACCCCCCAAAACACAGCAGTTTCCCCAATAACATTGAGAAAATGGGCTTTAAAGTTCTTCTAGGCCGGGTGCGGTGGCTCATGCCTGTAATCCCAACACTTTGAGAGGCCGAGGCGGGGGAATTGCTTGAGGTCAGGAGTTTGATACCAGCCTGGCCAACATGGTGAAACCCCATCTCTACTAAAAACAAAAAACAAAAAACAAAACTGAGCTGGATATGGTGGTGGGTGCCTGTAATCCCAGCTATTCGGGAGGCCGAGGCAGGAGAATTGCTTGAACCCAGAACCCAGGAAGTGGAGGTTGCAGTGAGCTGAGATTGTGCCACTTCACGCCACCCTGGGGGACAGAACAAGACTCTTTCTCAAAAAAATAAATAGGCCGTGTGCGGTGGCTCACGCCTGTAATCCCAGCACTTTGGGAGGCTGAGGCGGGCAGATCACAAGGTCAGGAGTTCGAGACCAGCCTGGCCAACATGGTGAAACCCCGTCTCTACTAAAAATACAAAAATTAGCTGGGTGTGGTGGTGCGTGCCTGTAGTCCCAGCTATTCGGGAGGCTGAGGCAGGAAAATTGCTTGAATCCGGGAGGCGAAGGTTGCAGTGAGCTGAGATTGCGCCACTGTACTCCAGCCTTGGTGACAAAGCGAGACTCTATCTCAAAAAACAAACAAACAAACAAACAAACAAATAAATAAAGTTCTCCTTGTGCACTTTAAGCAAAGGTGATCATGAAGCAGATCTCATTGGGAAAAACATCTCCTTTCTAATTATCTTACCTGTTTTCATTGAGGGAGCTTCAAGTTCATCGTGTTTATCTAGAAAATAGGAGGGAAGAAAAGGAATTACACTAATCATACAGGAACCTTGGGGACAGGAGTCCTCACGTCCTACTTATAGACATCCTGTTCTTCTTTGGGAAGCAGAAAAGAGAATGGCTTCTCCATTCCCTAGATGCTCCCTGGGTCCTCAGAGCATGGACAGAGCCTCAGATTACTCTTCTTAATAGTCCTGGAGTTTGATAGTATTTTTAATAACAAAAATATTTATGAATGACCCTGCTAACGCCCCCTCCAGTTTGATTCCTTGCCAGTCTTCTCTATCTTGACAAAGAACACCATTCACCCAAATTCTTTCTTTCTTTTATTTTTTTTGAGTCTTGCACTGTTACCCAAGCTGGAGTGCAGTGGCATGATCTCAGCTCACTGCAACCTCCGCCTCCCGGGTTCAAGAGATTCTCCTGCCTCAGCCTTCCAAGTAGCTGGGACTACAGGCGCCCGCCACCACACCCTGCTAATTTTTGTATTTTTAGTAGAGACAGGGTTTCACCATGTTGGCCAGGCTGGTCTCAAACTCCTGGCCTCAAGTGATCAACCTGCCTTGGCCACTCAGAATACTGGGATTCCAGGCATGAGCCACTGCACCTGGCCTATATTTCTATCTCCACAGTGGCACCATTTAGTCTAAGTTAAAATATCACCTACTTGGCCGGGCGCAGTGGCTCACGCCTGTAATCCCAGCACTTTGGGAGGCCGAGGCGGGCAGATCACAAGGTCAGGAGATCGAGACCATCCTGGCTAACATGGTGAAACCCCGTCTCTACTAAAAATACAAAAAGTTAGCCGAGCGTGGTGGCGGGCCCCTGTAGTCCCAGCTACTCGGGAGGCTGAGGCAGGAGAATGGCGTGAACCCGGGAGGCGGAGCTTGCAGTGAGCCGAGATCGCGCCACTGCACTCCAGCCTGAGGGACAGAGCCAGACTCCGTCTCAAAAAAAAAATAAAAATAAAAATAAAAATGAAATGAAATATCACCTACTCACCAGTCCCTGGCAACCACCAGTTGCTTCTGTGAGTTTGGCTTTTTTAGACTACACATATGAGTGAGATCCTGCAGAATTTGTCTTTCTGAGTCTGGCTTATTTTGTTTAGCATGATATATGCGGAGATGTTGATGAAAGGGTATAAGTTTCCAGTTCTAAGATGAAGAAGTTCAGGTGCTCAGCATGGTGGCAATGGATGTGCTAATTAATTTGACTGTGATAATCATTACACAATGTACAGGTGGATCAAATCATCAGATTGTATACCTTGAATATATACAATCTTCATTTGTCAATTTGATATTTTTAAATTTAAAAAGTCGTATTGCCTGAAACGCACCAACTCTTACTACATCTAGTCCCTTATTTTCCAAAAGCAGCCAGAGGCCGGGCATGATGGCCTGTGCCTGTAATCTCAGATGCTTGGGAGGCTGAGGTGGGAGGATTACCTGGGCCTGGGAGGTCAAGGCTGCAGTGAGCTGTGATTGCACCACTGCACTCCAGCCTGGGCAACCGAGTGGGACCCTGTCTCAAAAAAAAAAAAAAAAAAAAAAGCAGCCAGTGACCCTTCCAGCATATAAATAAAATCATGCCATCCTCCAGCTCAACTTCATCAGTGGGTTCCTGTTCTTTCAAAGCAGACTCTAGGACCAGTTCAAACACCCACAAGATCCTAGATGCTCTAGGCCCTGCCTTATGTCCTCCTTTCTGTGTCTCAATCATTCCAGGAACACTCACACTTCTGAGACTTTGCTTTTGCTGCTCTCTCTCCCTGGAGGGCTGTTCTCCAGATATCGGTGTGGTTGGGTCATTCTCATCCTTCATGCTTGTGGCAGATAGACCCTAAGGGGGCACTCAGGAGACTCAGGAGCCCTGCTTCCTGGTGTTCATGCCTTTGTCTAATCCCCTCACCTTGAGTGTGGAGATCTGTGACTTTCTTCTCACCAATAGCTATGGCAAAGGTGATGGGATGTTATGCTCTTGATTATGTTACATTACATAAAACTCTGTTTGCTAGGGCATTTGCTCTCTCTTTCTTCTCTCTCTCTCAATCTCTCTTCTTGCAAGTGCTGCAGAATCATTCTAGCATGAATCCTACAGCTATAAAGAACCAGATATTGCTATCAACCACAGGAGTGGAGAAATGGACCCTTCCCCAGTCAAGCCTCCAGATGAGCCAGATGAGAACACAGCCCTTGTTGACACCTTGATTGCATCCTTATGAGACCCAAAGCAGAGGACTCAGCTAAGCTGTGCCTGGACTCCTGACCCACATCAACTGTGAGATAATAAATAGGTGTTTCAGGCTGCTAAATTAGTGGTAATTTGTTATGCAGCTGTAGATCACTAATACAATGCCTCTCACAGTTATTCTCCATCTATAATGTGTTTTTTAATTACTCTGATAGCTTGCTCTTATTTCTTTCTTTCTTCCAAAGAAGAATGTGAGCTCCTGTTGGCCAGAGACCTGGTCTGTCTCAGTTCCTACAATATGCTCAGGATCTACCAAAGTATCTGAATTTGTAGGGTGAATGGGCAGCTATTTTTGTGCCAGGTATTTTGCATTAATTTTTTTTTGTAATGGAAGCATTTATATGCCCATTTTGTAATAAGTAAAAAGTAGTATAATAAAAAAGTAAAAAGTAGTATAATAAAGTGATTTGCAAAGCAGCAAACAGATTGTATATGGAAGGCTGACCTGGAAAATCAACCACTGGAAATTGATACTATAGCCTGTCTTGTGATGTAATGGTACAGCTGCGATAGAGGTGAAGAAATCAGGAAACAGTAGATGATATGCCAGAGAACATAATTGGGAAATGGCAAATAATCGCGAGGCTTTTAGGGCTAAAGTGTGGGTGCAGAAATTCTTAAGACTACAAGAACGAGTTATGGGGAATACAATTTGAAATCAATATCAAAGTGATGAGCACCTTGTTGGAGTATCATTGATCAAGAGCCTCAGAAAGAGGGTAAATCAGAGGTGAAACATTAAGTATTCAGTTACTCATCATGCCCCAAGCCCAGGCTAAGTCATTGGTGTGGACCCACGGCTACTTCTACACTACACTGATGACTGTAAAGTCTCTCCAGGGATTTCCCATGATATGGCAGGACTGACCTACTGGAAGCAACTGTGGTCAGTTGAGAGGTATTGTTTAGTGACTAATAAATGAATGGATGAATGGATGGATGGATGGATGGATGGATGGATAGATGGATAGGTGGGTGGGGGTGAGTGAATGGGTGAAAGGGT
The DNA here is from genome assembly GCF_000001405.40 of Homo sapiens. Lineage (NCBI taxonomy): Eukaryota > Metazoa > Chordata > Mammalia > Primates > Hominidae > Homo > Homo sapiens. The sequence goes on from NW_003571055.2 coordinate 29,074, forward strand.
GGATGAGTGGATGAATGGGTGGAAGGATGGACAAATGAGTGGCTGGGTAAATAGATGGGTAGGTAGGTAGATAGATGGATGAAGGGGTGGGTGGACAGATGAATGGAAGGGTTGGTGGTTGGATGGATTAATGGATAGATGAATGGATGGATGGATGGATGGATGGATGGATGGATGAGTTGATGGATAGATGGATAAGTGAGTGGATGGATGGGTGAATGAGTGGGTAGGAGGGTGGATGGGTTGGTAGGTGGGTAGATGGGTGGGTGGGTTGATAGATGGGTGGGTAGATTGATAGATGGATGGGTGAGTAGATAAATGGGTAGATGAAAGTGATGCAAAATTATTCTTTATCCCTCTTCCTTGGGATCTCAAGTCATGTATGTTACAATCCTCCCACGTGCATCTTCTCACTGTGGTCCTCATCATTTTTTTTTCAGTTACCTGCACCGTGCCTCCCATACTTTTCCACACAATGGGATCTCTTAGCCCCACAATCCATTATTTGCCATTCCTACATCCCTCATAGAGCACTGGACACTCTTTCTGGCTTTCCTTCTCTGGCATAATGAAATATAAATTTTCATTTATGTCTGAATAGCAACTGTGAAGCTCATTGTTTTTGTGACACCGGGGAGGTCACCTAATCTCTATGAGCAAAAAGAAGTTAGTAACACAACCACCCTCATAGGAAGTGAAGACTGAATGAGTTAGTGGAGGCAAGTTACCTGTCGTGGAGACAGGAACATAGAAAATGCTGGATACATGTCAAATGCCAGTGTTATCACTCTATCCTCACCTGTCACCCAGATCTCCAGCTTGTTGCTGGGGAAGGAGGCCAAGTGTGATGAGTTGCTCAGGTAATACACACAGCTGTAGTTTCCACTGTCATTACTTGTCACGTTCCAGAGCATGAAATCAGTCTGGTTTTTTCTTACTTGCCTGACTTGTAATGGTTCTGGGATCCCCATTTTCAACAGAGCAATTACAATACATTCGGTTCCATTGTATGGAGTGAGACATCGAAGTGTCCTGAGACCTGGAGTCATCCCAGGGTCTACATTGACTGAGAGCAAAGGTTCTGGGAGTGATCCTGAAGAGGACAAGGCAATGGAGGTAAAGAGAAGGGCCAGGGCTTTTCCATTTTCTACTGCACTTGGGGACTATCTCATCCATCTCTCCGTATTAACCATGTCTTTCATCTTCTGCATTTGATGCTTTAACATCTTGGGGCCTTGCTGCCCTTGGTGGGACCTCCCCTCGCAGGGTTAGTTAATTTCTAGAGCCAGTAAACAACTTGTCCTCAAGGATGTCCCTCAAATGCAAGCCAATAGATCCAGAGCCCATACTCTCAACCACCTTAATTATGGGGCTCTCACACTCAAGGTCAATGTTGTCCTCTCCTAATCACCCCAGGTCCAAGAACTAGACAACCAGGGACAGCCTCTACACCCCAAAGCCAATTCTTTTTTTGTTTTTCTTTTCTTTCTTTCTTTTCTTTTCTTTTCTTTTTTTTTTTTTTTTTTTTTTTTTGAGACAGGTTCTCATTCTATCACCCAGGCTTGAGTGCAGTGGCACGATCTTGGCTCACCGCAGCCTCTGCCTCTGGGGTTCAAGCAATTCTCGTGCCTCAGCCTCCCGAGTAGCTGAAAGCACAGGTGCACACCACCACACCCAGGTAATTATTGTATTTTTGTAGAGATGGAGTTTCGCCATGTTACCCAGGCTGATGTCAAACTCCTGACCTCAGGTGATCCACCCTCCTAGGCCTCCCAAAGTGCTAGGATTACAGGCATGAACCACCACACCTGGCCAACTCTAATCTTGTTCTCCCCACAAAATACAATCAAAGCTCTGGTCCACAGTTCTTCCTCCTCCCTCTGCCCCTCATTGACCCTGGTGCTTCCCCACATACTCCCCCCAGTATAGCCTTCCTCCTCCTCTTGGGAACTGTAACAGACCATCTTTTCCATGGCAATCATCACTTGGTCTGTCAGTCTTACCATACCCCAATTTTCTATTAACTGACCATATTCTACACCACCCTCCCACATCCACATCATTGGGACCCTCTCAGAATCTCTGATGAGAATCTTGCTCCACATTCGGTTCCCATTTCCACATTGAAGGTGTTGCATCTATCCTTCTTCTTCTTTTTTTTTTTTAGACGGAGTCTTGCTCTTTCATCCAGGCTGCAGTGCAGTGGCACAATCTCAGCTCATTACAACCTCTGCCTTCTGGGCTCAAGAGATTCTCTTCCTGCCTCAGCCTCCCTAGTAGCTGGGATTACAGGCGCCTGCCACCACGCCCAGCTAATTTTTGTATTTTAAGTAGAGGTGAGGTTTCACCATGTTGGCCAGGCTGGTCTCGAACTCCCGACCTCAAGTGATCTGCCCACCTCTGCCTCCCAAAGTGCTGGGATTACAGGCATGAGCCACCGCGCCGTGCCTGGCCTGCATCTATCTTTTTGTCTCCTAGATTCCTTCTTCCCCAGCCATGTCCCACGACAGGAAAAGAAATACGTGCATCAGGCAGGCTTTGGTGACTCACGCCTGTAATCCCAGCACTTTGGGAGGCCAAGGCAGGAGGATCACCTGAGCTCAGGAGTTCAAGACCAGCCTGGGCAACATAGATCCTGTCTCAACAAGTAATTTAAAAATTAGCCAGGCATGGTGGTGCTTGCCTGTACTCCCAGCTACTTGGGAGGCTGATGTGGGAAAATCGCTTGAGCCTGGGAGGTCGAGGCTGCAGTGAATTGTGTTCATGCCACTGCACTCCTGCCTGGGTGACAGAGCGAGATTCTGTCAAAAAAAAAAAAAGCAGCCGAGCGCAGTGGCTCACTCCTGTAATCTCAGCACTTTGGGAGGCTGAGGTGGGCAGATCACTTGAGGTCAGCAGTTCGAGATCAGCCTGGCCAACATGGTAAAACCCTGTCTCTACTAAAATACAAAAATTAGCCAGGTGTGGTGGCGCACCCCTGTAGTTCCAGCTACTCGGGAGGCTGAGGCAGGTGAATTGCATGAACCCAGGAGGCGGGGGTTGCAGTGAGCTGAGATCATGCCACTGTACTCCAGCCTGGGCAACAGAGCAAGACTCCCTCTCAAAAAAAAAAAAAAGGCTGGGTGTGGAGGTTCACGTTTATAATCCCAGCCCTTTGGGAGGCCGAGGCAGATGGATCACTTGAGGTCAGGAGTTTGAGATCAACCTCACCAATATGGTACAACCTCATCTTTATTAAAAATACAAAAATTAGGCCGGGCGCGGTGGCTCATGCCTGTAATCCCAGCACTTTGGGAGGCGGAGGCAGGTGGATCACAAGGTCAGGAGATGGAGACCATCCTGGCTAACATGGCGAAACCCCATCTCTACTAAAAACACAAACAATTAGCTGGGCGTGGTGGCGGGCGCCTGTAGTCCCAGCTACTCGGGAGGCTGAGGAGGGAGAATTGCTTGAACCCAGGAGGCAGAAGTTGCAGTGAGCCGAGATCGTGCCACTGCACTCCAGCCTGGGAGACACAGCAAGACTCTGTCTTAAAAAAAAAAAAGCAAAGCCAAACCAAAGAAATGTGTGCATCAAAGAGTACATCTGCCCTTCTCACCTGTGACCACCAGCTGCAAGTGTTCACTGCTTTCTGACCACTCATGGGAGGCTGTTGTCTTGTAGGCACAAAAGTACCTCCCAGCATCCTTAGGCTTCAGGTCCGTGAAGGGGAATTCAGCTTCGTTTTCTGCCGAGCTCTGTTCCTGCTTGTACCCAGAGTCGTTCACCTTGCGCAGCACAAATGTCACATTCTGGGAATGAGCCTGACACTTCAGGGTCACATTGCTCTCGGCTTCAACCACCGAGCTGGGCCAGGCGTGGAGGGAGGGCTTGGGCGGTTTCTCTGGAAACAATTCAGAGTTAATTTGAGTCTAGAATTCAGACGATTAAAGGAAAAGGTCATGAAGCGTGGGATGCAGGAATAAAAGTTTAAGTAGGAGAAAACTCACCATTCTTTTTCTCATCTTCGTAGCCCAGACACAGCCCTGGAAGAGAAATCTCAATGAGAGAAAAATTATGTGCTTGTCCTTGAGTACAAATCCAGCAGAGAACGTATGACTAGCTCTTTATAGGTCTGAGATATATATATATATATAATGTATATATGTATTATATATAATAAATGTATTAAGTATATGTACACATATTACATATAATACATATATAAATATAATATATATATTAAATATATGTATTACATATATGTATATATTTTTGGCAGATATCTCCCCAGACTTACCTCTTACTTTTGTTCCATTGTTTGTCATTCAGAAGCTACGTGTATGGAGAAAATTCCAGCAACTTCTTCTTTCTTTTTTTTTTTTTTTTTTTGAAATGTAGTCTTGCTCTGTTGCACAGGCTGGAGTGCAATGACATGATCTCAGTTCACTGCAACCTCCGCCTCCCAGGTTCAAGCAATTTTCCTGCCTCAGCCTCCCGAGTAGCTGGGACTACAGGCACCCGCCACCACACCTGGCTAATTTTTGCATTTTTAGTAGAGACAGGGTCTCACCATGTTGGCCAGGCTGGTCTTGAACTCCTGACCTCAGGTGATCCACACGCCTCGGCCTCCCAAAGTGCTGGGATTACAGGCGTGAGCCACTGCCCCCGGCCCAGCAACCTTTTCTGATGTATTGAATTGCTTTCATGAGTAATCCTTTCACCATCTAGAAATTGTTCAACATTCACCTATGCTTTTTTCTGGTATTTTCTGTGATTGCAGTGTTTTGTTTTGTTTTGAGACAGAGTCTCGCTGTGTCACCCAGGCTGGAGTGCAGTGGTGCAGTCTCAGCTCACTGCAACCTCCTCCACCCCCTGGGTTCAAGTGATACTCGTACCTCAGGCTCCAGAGTAGCTGGGACTACAGGTGTGTGCCATCGTGCCCAGCTAATTTTTGTTGTTGTTGTTGTAGAGATGGGGTTTCACCATGTTGCCCAGGCTGGTCTCAAACTCCTGAGCTCAAGTGATCCACCCGCCTCAGCCTCCCAAAGCGCTGGGATTACAGGCATGAGCCACCGTGCCCGGCCTGATTGCAGTTTTACCCTTGCCACTTAAATAATGCAAAGGTTATTTTATCGTGGAGTGAGAGTGGTGGGTTTTTTTTTTTTTTTTATTTTTCGAGATGGAGTCTCGCTCTGTCACCCAGGCTGGAGTGCAGTGGCGCGATCTCGGCTCACCGCAAGCTCTGCCTCCCGGGTTCACGCCATTCTCCTGCCTCGGCCTCCCGAGTAGCTGGGACTACAGGCACCCGCCACCAAGCCCAGCTAATTAATTTTTTTGTATTTTTAGTAGAGACGGGGTTTCACTGTGTTAGCCAGGATGGTCTTGATCTCCTGACCTCGTGATCCACCCGCCTCGGACTCCCAAAGTGCTGGGATTACAGGCATCAGCCACCGCGCCCGGCCGAGAGGAGGGTTTTCTTGCTCAATTCCAATAGAGAGAATCTGCTCCCCCTTCCCCGTGTCTTCTGGTCCCAAATACTCTCCTCACTTTAGCTTTGGTTTCCACTTACATTATCCCCTCCCTCTTCTGTGTTCTGTTCTCTACATTCCCCGCTGGGAAGGTAGCGTCTTAAACTTGGGTGGAAAATGGGATGTCAGTCATGGGGCTTGTTTCAGGGTGAAGTTACGTAGAATTTAGGTAGAAATTCTCTAGAGCCACGACAGTGTCTCAGGACATTGGTTCCTTGTTGACACAGGTGCCGATACAGAACGTGACCCCCCACCAAGCTTCACCACAGAGGAATGAGGTGGAGGCCTCACGATGGACCGAAGCTGCGTTGGCAGCGAGATTAGCTGGGATTGGCAGGTAGGAAACAGCCTCTGGGTGGGCAGGGCATCCCAGGACTCAGGCTCTGTTTTGAGACCCTCCCCAAATCCCGCTTTTAGATTCATGTCATCTCATCTCTGCTATCCACCCATCGTCTGTTCAAACAGTGATTCCTATATTCTTTTTTCTTTTTGAGACAGGGTCTCACTCTGTGGCCCAGGCTGGAGTGCCAGGGTGCAGTCACAGCTCACTGCAGCCTCAACCTCCTGGGCTCAAGTGATCCATCCATCTCAGCCTCCCAAATAACTGGGACTACAGGCATGCACCACCACGCTGGCTGATTTTAAAATTTTTTTGTAGAGATGAGGACTCACGATGTTGCCCAGGCTGGTCTCGAACACCTGAGTTCAAGTGATTCTCCCACCTTGGCCTCCCAACATGCTGGGATTACAGGTGTGAGCTACCTGCACCCAGCCCAATTCCCATATTCTTTTTCTTTTCTTTTTTTTTTTTTTTTTTTGACATGGAGTCTCCCTCTGTCACCCAGGCTGGAGGGCAGCGGTGCTATCTTAGCTCACTGCAACCTCTGCCTCCCAGGTTCAAGCGATTTTCCTGCCTCAGCCTCCCGAGTAGCTGGGATTACAGGTCCTTGCCACCATGCCCAGCTAATTTTTGTATTTTTAGTAGAGACGGGGTTTCACCATGTTGGCCAGTCTGGTCTCAAACTCCTGACCTCAAGAGATCTGCCCGCCTGGGCCTCCCAAAGTCCTGAGATTACAGGCGTGAGCCACCACACCTGGCTGATTTGTGTTTCTTGAAAAGAGAAGTTCAAGTTGTAACTCCCAGGACCTGCGAATGTGACCTTATTTGAAAATAGCATTGTCTGATCTTTGCAGATGTAATTAATTAAACTAAGATGAGGTCATACTAGAGTAGGCTGGGTATCTAATCCAATATAACTTACAAGAAGAGAAAAAGAGAGACAGAGACACACAGAAGGAAGACGGCCATGCGAAGACAGAGGCAGAGAGGCCAGGCTGCAATCATAGTGCTTTGGGATGCCAAGATAGGAGAATTGCTTGAGCCCAGGAGTTGGAGACTAGCCTGGGCAATATAGCAAGATCCCATCTCTAAAACAGAAATTATTTTAATTAGTCCAACATGGTGGTGTGCACCTGTAGTCCTAGCTGCTCAGAAGGCTGCGGGGAGGACTGCTTGAGCTCAGGAGGTTGAGGCTGCAGTGAGCTATGGTGGTACCACTGCACTCCGGCCTGGGCAACTGAGTGAGACCCTGTCTAAAGAAAAGAAAAAAAAAAACAGAGCCAACGATTGGAGTGATGCATCTACAAGTTAAAGAATGCCGGGAGCGCTGGCTCACGCCTGTAATCTCAACAGTTTGGGAGGCTGAGGCGGGCAGATCACCTGAGGTCAGGAGTTCGAGGCCAGCCTGGCCAACGTGGTGAAACCCTGTCTCTACTAAAAATACAAAAATTAGCCAGGCATGGTGGTCCATGCTTGTAATCCCAGCTACTTGGGAGGCTAAGGCAGGAGAATTGATTGAACCCAGGAGGTGGAGGTTGCAGTGAGAAAGATCATGCCACTGCACTCTAGCCTGGGTGACAGAGCAAGACTCCGCCTCAAGAAAAAAAAAAAATGCCAAGAATTGTCAGCCATCACTAGAAGAGGGGCATAAAACAGACGCTCCTTCATAGTTCTCAGAAGGAATCAACATTGCAAACACCTTGGTTTCAGACTTCTCATCTCCCCAACTTAAAGCAATTCTAATTCCTTTAAGCCACCAGGCTTGTAGTACTTTGGTATGGCAGCCATTGGGGGATGAGGTCAGTCTCCTGGTTGCCCAGCTTACTGTGCTCAGCAGCTGGAGGCTTGGGTATGAACCCGATAGTCATCTCTAAGGCACAAATAGCCGGGTGCAGTGGCTCACACCTGTAATCCCAGCACTTTAGGAGGTTGAAGTGGGTAGATCACCTGAGTTCAGGAGTTTGAGACCAGCCTGGCCAACATGGTGAAACCCCATCTCTACTAAAAACACAAAAAATTAGCCAGGCGTGGTGGCGTGTGCCTATAATCCCAGCTTCTCGGGAGGCGGAGGCAGGAGAATCGCTTGAACCCAGGAGGTGGAGGTTGCAGTGAGCTGAGATCACACCACTGCACTCCAGCCTGGGAGACAAAGCAAGACTCTGTCAAAAAAAAAAAAAAATGCTCATCTAAGGTGCAAATGTGTGTAGGAGACGAGCATTACCCCACAAGGAAGGGCTGCACCCAGAAAAGGAGGAAGGAACTGAAGCAGACGAAGCACGTCGATGTCCACCGCACCCCCCGTGCACCAGGGAGGAACTGGGGCCTTAGGGAGGTGGAGCTCTGCTGGGTCAAGCCTAGAGTTTCTATGTAGTAAAGCCGAGATTATAACCCAGGTCATCCGTTTCACAGTGTGAGCTCTGTCTGAATACATCAGGTTCAATTGGAGGATGGTTAAAATCAGCCTAAGAATCGAGCTGGTCAGAAAATTGTCTTCTTGGGGCCAGGTGTGGTGGCTCACGCCTGTAATCCCAGCACTTTGGGAGGCTGAGGCGGGCGGATCACCTGAGGTCAGGGGCTCGAGACCAGCCTGACCAACATGGTGAAACCCCGTCTCTACTTAAAATACAAAAGTCAGCCGGGTGTGGTGGCCTGCACCTGTAGTCCCACCTACTCGGGAGGCTGAGGCAGGAGAATCGCTTGAACCTGGGAGACGGAGGTTGCAGTGAGCCCAGATCACGCCATTGCACTCCAGCCTGGGCTACAGAGTGAGACTCTGTCTCATAAATAAATGCATACATACATAAATAAATAAATAAGAGAGAGAGAGAAGAAAATTGTCTTTTTGCCCACAGCCTTGCACCCTGTAGATCCCTAAGCCCAGCCCTCCTCTATTCCGACGGAGGATGATGGCAGTACTGCGGTATTTAGCGGCTGCAGACTCGGAGACCCCACAGCAGCTCTGCCTTTCCCAGCGGAGTCTGTCCCCGTGTCTCTGCAGCGCGGCCTCCTCCTCGCTTGCATGTGGGCGGCAGAACTCACAGAACCCACAGCCCAGACCCACCCACCGCAGGTGTGCAACACCTGGAAGTCATTACTTCCACACACCGCATTTCCACCTGGACTGCCACTCCCACATGAGTTTTTCTCACCAGCCCAAGCCCATTCGTCCCAGTCCTGGAGACTCACCGAGGCAAAGCAGGGAGAGGAATTCTGCGGTCATAGCGTCCCTTCTGCCAGAACCAAGGCCCCGCCTTGGGTTTTACCCTTCAAAGGCGGAGCGGGACTGGGCCGGCCGCAGCTCTCCGGCTGCCCGGTTCGTCCCCAGGATGTGCAGATAGAGGAGGTTTTGCTCTGACACTCTGGTTCTCTGCCCCACTCTTGCAGTTTCCTTCTCACAACCGACTCAGGAAACAAGAAGCCGTCGATGATAACTTCTTCCCCATGAATCCGGTGTGTGTGGCCCCACCCGCCCGAGCTCTGTCCTACCTTATCTGAAGTTCTGCCAAGAGTTTTCTGTAAATGTAATTTTTTATTTTAAAACACTAATACCGGCCGGACGCGGTGGCTCACGCCTGTAATCCCAGCACCTTGAGAGGCTGAGGCGGGCGGATCACCTGAGGTCGGGAGTTCAAGACCAGCCTGACCAAAATGGAGAAACCCCCGTCTCTACTAAAAATACAAAATTAGCCAGGCATGGTGGCGCATGCCTGTAATCCCAGCTACTCCGGAGGCTGAGACAGGAGAATGGCTTGAACCCAGGAGGCGGAGGTTGCTGTGAGCCAAGATTGTGCCACTGCACTCCAGCCTGGACAACAACGGTGAAACTGTCTCAAACAAGCAAACAAACAAACATTAATACCTATAGCTTTATAGCTTCCGTGTACCCACTAGCCAGCTCCCCACAATGTTAACCTTTTTTTGGGGGGCGGGGGGGACAGAGTCTTGCTCTGTCACCCAGGCTGGAGTGCAGTGGCGCGATCTCGGCTCACTGCAACCTCTGCCTCATGGGTTTAAGGATTCTCCTGCCTCAGACTCCCAAGTAGCTGGGATTACAAGCATGCACCACCACACCCAGCTAATTTTTTGTAGAGATGGGATTTCACCATGTGGGCCAGGCTGGTCTTGAACTCCTGGTCTCTAGTGACCCGCCCACCTCAGCCTCCCAAAGTGCTGGGATTACAGGCATAAGCCACTGTGCCCGGCCAATGGTAATCTCTTATAATTACAGTACTTTTTTTTTTTTTTTTTTTTTTTGAGACAGAATCTCTGTCAGCCAGGCTGGAGTGCAGTGGCACAATCTTGGCTCACTGCAACCTCTGCCTCCCGGGTTCAAGCGATTCTCCTGCCTCAGCCTCCCGAGTTGCCGGGATGACAGGTGTCCGCCACCACTCTTGGCTAATTTTTTTTGTTCTTTTTAGTAGAAACGAGGTTTTGCCATGTTGCCCAGGCTGGTCTCGAACTTCTGACCTCAGGCGATCCGCCTGCCTCGGCCTCCCAAACTGCTGGGATTACAGGCGTGAGCCACCACGCCCGGCGTATGGCACATTTTCAAAACCAGAGACTTTGCACTGGCATCACACGTTTAACCAGGTTCCAGAGGTCACTCAGATCTCACCAGTTTGTGCATAATTCGTTTCTCTTTTTCTCTTCCTCTTCCTTCTATTTCTATTTCCTTTTCTCCTTTTCCTTCTTTTCTCCTGCTCTTCCTCCTCTTCCACCTTCTTTTCCTCCTCCCTTTTCTTTGCCTATGGGTATAGTTCTGTAACATTTTATTGCCTGTATGTATGGCTTTATAGAACCACCGCCACAATCAAGACACAGAACTGTCCCACCACCACGTAGGAACTCCCTCATGCTGCCCCTTTATAATCGCTCTCCCACCCTAGCACCTGCTAATCTGTTCTACGTCTCTATCACTTTGTCACTTTGAGACTCTTGTATAAATGGAATCGTCCATCGCCTCACCTTCTGAGGGTGACCTTTTTCACTCAGCACAATGCCTGTGAGATTCATTCAAATGGTTGTGTGTTATGATGATGGATACATTAGCCGGGCGTGGTGGCACACGCCCATAGTCCCAGCTACTCAGGAGGCTGAGGCAGGAGAATCGCTTGAACCCGGGAGGCGGAGGTTGCAGTGAGCTGAGATCACGCCACTGCACTCCAGCCTGGGTCACAGAGCAAGACTCCATCAAAAAAAAAGAATTATCTAATGGATACAATGTGTGTCACTGGGTTAGTGGATACCTGAAAGCCCTAACTTCATCATTTTGGAATCTATCCATGCAATAAAGTTACACTTGTACCCCATAAACGTATACAAATAAAAAATAATCGTCTGGGCATGATGACTTACCGCTGTAATCCCAGCACTTTGGGAGGCTGAGGCGGGATTACAGGTGTGAGCCACCATGCCCGGCCTATACTTTCTATCTTAATAACTACAAAAATAATAACTTGCTGGATGGGTCCCTGTGCCCACCCCGTCCTGTCCTAAGTGAGGAGGATGGGAAGAAAGCCATCGTCCTGTCCTGGTGCGGCTCTCAAACAGCTGGAAATGCTGGCTGCACAGGAAACTCTAAGGATCGGCAGCTCTAGCGCATGCTACCCTTGGCAGCTGTGTGGTCTGTGGATAGAGAAGGACCAACCTGTGGTTAGTGGAGGAAGAGGAGGAATATTGCTTTGATAAGCACATCCTCAGAGTTATAACAGAGGAGACAATAGTTATAAAATAAGAATGATATTTACGAAAAATAATAAGACTATTAACAAGAAACAGCAACAAATCTTGAAAACAAAATGTAACAACAAAACATAAATGTTGACTTTTTTTTTTTTTTTTTTTTTGAGACGGAGTCTCGCTCTGTCGCCCAGGCTGCAGTGCAGTGGTGAGATCTCGGCTCACTGCAACCTCTGCCTCCCGGGTTCCAGCAATTCTCCTGCCTCAGCCTCCTGAGTAGCTGGGATTACAGGCATGCACCACCACGCCCAGCTAATTTTTGTATTTTTAGTAGAGATGGGGTTTCACCATATTGGCCAGGATGGTCTCGATCTCTTGACCTTGTGATCCGCCCACCTCGGCCTCCCAGAGTGCTGGGATTATAGGCATGAGCCACAGCACCTGGCAACTGTTGACATTTTACATCTGCACCAGTAAGACTGGCTACCAATTACAAGCAAATGGATGCCATGGATAGAATGGAATTCCTGCCAAACTGGGTAAAATGTTGGAAACATATAAAATAAAATGTAAAAGAAATGTATTATAAATACAGGCTGGGCGTGGTGGCTCATGCCTGTAATCCCAGCACTTTGGGAAGCCAAGGTGGGCAGATCACTTGAGGTCAGGAGTTCGAGACCAGCCTCGCCAACATGGTGAAACCCCGTCTCTACTAACACACAAAAATTAGCCAGGCATGGTGGTGGGCGCCTGTAATCCCAGCTACTTGAGAGGCTGAGGCAGGAGAGTCACTTGAACCTGAGAGGGAGGTTGCAGTGAGCTGAAATTACGCCACTGCACTCCAGCCTGGGTGACAGAGTGAGACTCCCTCTCCAAAAAAAAAGAAAGAAAGAATGTATTATAAATACATATGACCAAGCACAGTGGCTAACGCCTGTAGTCCTGGCACTTTGGGAGGCCAAGATGAGAGGATCACTTGAGTCCAAGAGTTCGAGACCAAGTTGGGCCATATGGTGGAACCCGGCTTCTACAAAAAATACAAAATTTAGTCCGGCATGATGGCACACACCTGTGGTCCCAGCTACTCAGAAGGCTGAGATGGGAGGATTACTTTAGCCTGGGAGGTCGAGGCTGCAGTGAGCCGTGATCTAGCCACTACACTCCAGCCTGGGCGACAGAGTGAGACCCTGTCTCAAAATAAATAAATATAATAAATAAATAAATATGTATATCCCAATATTGGACTAAATGCTGGTCCAGAAGCACAAAATAGAAAGAACGGAGAGGAAGTATTAATAAATATTACACAGGAAGCAATGTTTTTCCCTTCGTGTGGAGGAAGAGTTCCCCGCAGGTGAGAGTCACCTACTACTCAATCTGACTCTGAAGTTTTAAGTATTGATTCAAGTTATCAAAAATGTATTAAGGGCTGGGCACGGTGACTCAAGCCTGCAATCCCAGCACTTTGGGAGGCCGAGGTGGGCTGATCACTTGAGCTCAGGTGTTCAAGACCAGCCTGGCCAACATGGGTGAAACCCCATCTCTACTAAAAGTACAAAAATTAGCTGGGCATGGTGGCAGGCGCCTGTAATCCCAGCGACTTGGGAGGCTAAGGCAGGAGAATCGCTTAAACCCAGGAGGTGGAGGTTGCAGTGAGCCGAGATCTTGCCATTGCACTGCAGCCTGGGTGACAGAGCGAGACTCCGTCTCAAAGAAAAAAAAAAAAAGTATTACGTGGCTCATTGTGCCCAATTCTGTCCTCTGTCCCCAGTGAAAAGTACAGGAAGAAGAAAGCCACCATCCTGCCCTACAGCAGATCCCAACAGAGCTGAGAGTGCAGGTTCCACAGAAAGCGGTTAAGGCTCAGCTGGTCCAACCCATCATTCCCTGGGCAGCTGTGGGATCTATGGCTAGAGAAGAACAGAGCTGAGCTTAGAGGGGAAGGAAGAGGAGGAAGATTGTTTTCTCCCGGCATCCAAACACAGCTTTTCAACCAGGGGGAGCACCACCCTCACTTCCCATCGCCCCATCCAGGGATATTTGAAAGGTATGAGAGTAGTGGCTTTTTTGTTGTTGTTGTTTCACAATAATTAGGTCTCCAACAGGTGTTCAATGGGAAAGGAAGTATTAGCAATGTCGAGTTACGTGTTCCTATAATGGACAAGACAGTCTCACATGGTGAAGGACTATTGCACTTTAAACACCATTTGTGGCCATGCCCGGTGGTGCACACCTGTAATCCCAGCACTTTGGGAGGCTGAGGCAGGTGGATCACTTGAGGCCAGGAGTTCGAGACCAGCCTGACCAATGTGGCGAAACCCCGTCTCTCCTAAAAATACAAAAAAATTAGCCAGATGGTGGCAGGTGCCTGTAGTTGCAGCCACTTGGGAGGCTGAGGCAGGAGAATCACTTGAACCTGGCAGGCGGAGGTTGCAATGAGCCGAGATCGCACCACTGCACTCTGGCCTGGGCGACAAAGCGAGACTCTGTCTCAAAACAAACAAACAAACAAAAAAACAAAAAATACCATTTGTGCCCATGTGGAGAAACGTGTGAAGTCCCCATGGTAGAGTCTGATGTTTAAAGAACCCCATATGGATTGAATGCACAGCAGGGCGGCTACAGTTCACAAGGCTGCACTGGGTAATTACAATTTGCTAAGAAGGTGGATCTTAAACAGAAAGGTCCATAAGCTAGATTGAGATAACCATTGTCACAATGAGTGAAATTTCTTCCTCGGCACACAATTAATTACTTAGTTAGTAGGAAAGTTCCCAGAAGGTGGATCTTAAACAGAAAAGTCCATTAGCTACATTGTGATAATCATGTCACAATTAGTGAAATTTCTTCTTTGGTACACAATTAATTATTTAGTAGGGAGGTTCCCAGAAGGTGGATCTTAAACAGAAAGGTTCGTTAGCTACATTGTGATACTCATGTCACAATCAGTGAAATTTCTTCCTTGGTACACAATAAATTACTTAGTAGGAGGGTTCCCCACCCGTAGGCTTATGGGGGTATAATTGATAAATCAAAATGGAATATATCAAAACATCACGTTGTACACAAATATAACTCCATTTTTATTTGTCGATTAGATCTCAATAAATCTGGAGCAGAAGAGAATTCCATATCTCTACAGCAGCCCATGAAAGAGAGAGGGGATCCGTGTTTTAACTTGGATCTGTTACTGGAAAGGGGTCCCAGTCCAGACCCCAAGAGAGGGTTCTCGGATCTCACACAAGTAAGAACTCAGGGTGAGTACACAGAGTAAAGTGAAGGCAAGTTTATTAAGAAAGTCAAGGAATATGGCTGCTCCATAGGCAGAGCAGTCCAGAGGGCTGTCAGTCGGCTATTTTTGTGGTTATTTCTTGATCGTATGCTAAACAAGGGGTGGACTGTTCATGAGTTTTCCAGGAAAGGGGAGGGGATTTCCCTGGAACTGAGAGTCCCTCCCTCGTTTAGCTTCTGGAAGTTGCCATGGCATCTGTAAGCTGTCTTGGTGGCGGTGGGAGTGTCTTTTAGCATGCAAATGCATTATAATTAGCAAATAATGTGCAGTGAGGACGACCAGAAGTCACTTTTGTTGCCATCTTGGATTTGGCAGGTTTTGGCTGGCTTCTTTGTTGCATCTTTGTGTCTTTGGGTCTTTGTGACCTGTATGTTGTGACCTGTCTCATCCTGTGACTTAGAAAGCCTCAACCCCCTGGGAATGCAGTCCAGCAGGTTGCAGCCTCAGTTTACCCAGCCCCGGTTCAAGATGGAGTCACTCTGGTTTGAAGGCCTCTGATTCACCTGGAGACACATTCCGGCTGTACCAG
Source organism: Homo sapiens (assembly GCF_000001405.40). Taxonomy (NCBI): domain Eukaryota; kingdom Metazoa; phylum Chordata; class Mammalia; order Primates; family Hominidae; genus Homo; species Homo sapiens. The sequence goes on from NW_003571055.2 coordinate 44,425, forward strand.
GCCTCCACCAGGAAAGCTCCCATGATAACCACAATTACGGCAGCCAGACCCAGTCGTACGAAGTTACCCAGGGAGTAGTTGCTCGATGTGGTACCTGGGGGAACTGAAAGAGAGAAGGGGCTCAGCACTGACCCTCAGAGGGTATCCCTCCTTCTCAAATGGCCCCACCAAATCTGACTATCATCACCCACTTAATGTTTTCGGTTTTTTGGTTTTTTTTTTTGAGACGGAGTTTTACTCTTGTTGACCAGGCTGGAGTGCAGTGGTGTAATCTCAGCTCACCACAACCTCTGCCTCCCAGGTTCAAGCCTCCCTGCCTCAGCCTCCCAAGTAGCTGGGATTACAGGCATGTGCCACCATGCCCGGCTAATTTTATATTTTTAGTAGAGACGGGGTTTCGCCATGTTGGCCAGGCTGGTCTTGAACTCCCGACCTCAGGTGACCCGCCCACCTCAGCCTCCCAAAGTGCTGGGATTACAGGTGTGAGCCACCGCGCCCGGCCACCCACTTAATGTTTTCTAGCCAGTAGTCCACTGTACTTTAAAGTTTTAATTGAACTTTTTTTTTTTCTTGAGATCAAGTTTTGCTCTTGTTGCCCAGACTGGAGTGTAATGGCACAATCTCAGCTCACTACAACCTCTGCCTCCCGGGTTCAAGTGATTCTCCTGTCTCAGCCTCCCAAGCAGCTGAGATTATGAGCATGTGCCACCACACCCGGCTAATTTTGTATTTTTAGTAGAGACGGGGTTTCTCCATGTTGGTCAGGCTGGTCTCGAACTCCTGACCTCAGGTGATCCACCCGCCTTGGCCTCCCAAAGTGTTGGGATTATAGGCATAAACCACCATGCCTGGCCATAATTGAGCTCTTTAAAGTTTTAATCCCTGAAAACAAAAGATGGAATCTTTGTTGTTGTTTTTGAGACGACGTCTCACTCTGTTGCTCAGGCTGGAGTGCAGCGACGCAGTCTCGGTTCACTGCAACCTCCACCTCCTGGGTTCAAGCGATTCTCCTGCCTCAGCCTCCCGAATAGCTAGGATTACAGGCACCTACCACCACACCCGGCTAATTTTTGTATTTTTAATAGAGATGGGTTTTCGCCATGTTGGCCAAACTGGTTTCGAACTCCTGGCCTCAAGTGATTCGCCTGCCTCGGCCTCCCAAGGTGCTGGGATTACAGGCCTGAGCCACCGCGCCCGGCCAAGATATGCAATCCTAATGAGTTGTAATGGGAGTTCCTTTATCTTCCTTCCTTGATATTCACTCCACCTTAGCTCTCTTCCTTCGTTTATTTGCTCTTTATCCCATTTCCACCTTCCCACATTGCCTTTTCTCCTCCCGCATCCTTATGTTAAGGAATAGTCTTGGGGCAGCACATGAGACGGAAGGAGCTCTACAGAGCCCCGAATTCCGTGGCTGGATCAGCATCCTCGCAGCCCACACTGCTGTGCAGCAGTGCACCTGAGAAAGTTTGAGTTGAGGCCGGGCACAGTAGCTCACGCCTGTAATCCCAGCACTGTGGGAGGCTAAGGTAGGAGGATTGCTTGAGGCCAGGAGTTTGAGAGCAGCCTGGGCAACATGGCGAAACCCCATGTCTACTAAAAATACAAAAAAATTAGCCGGGTGTGGTGGCGGGTGCCTGTAATCCCAGCTACTCAGGAGGCTGAGGCAGGAGAATTACTTGACCTGGGCCTGGGGTTGGGGGGTGGAGGCTGCAGTGAGCTCAGATTGTGCCACTACACTCCAGCTTGGGCGACAGAGTGAGACTCCATCTCAAAGAAAACAAACAAACAAACAAAACCCTAGCCTCCAGATTTTCAGGGAGGCTGATTTGAGTAATAATAAAACTCTGATTGGCCAGGTGCAGTGGCTCATGCCTGTAATCCCAGCACTTTGGGAGGCCCAAGCGGGCAGATCACGAGGTCAGGAGTTCGAGACCAGCCTGGCCAATATGGTAAAACCCCATCTCTACTAAAAATACAAAAATTAGCCAGGCAGGGTGGCACACATATAGTCCCAGCTACTCGGGAGGCTGAGGCAGAAGAATCGTTTGAACCTGGGAGGCAGAGGTTTCATTGAGCCGAGATCGCGCCACTGCACTCCAGCCTGGGCGACAGAGCAAGACTCCGTCTCAAACAAACAAACAAACAAAAAAACTCTGGTCTCCCACTTACCTGGCTCAATGTGTATTAAACTCTTTTTTGCAATTCCTCTGTCTTGATGAATGGGCTTCATCCAGGCACCCGGCAAGAGCTGTAATGTAACTCATTACAGCAGTTACAATAGATGAAAAATAATTTACAGAGCTGAGGAAGCAGAGTGCTAGCACCCAGTAAGGCAGGAAACAAGATACTTTCAGAAGAATTCTAGCAGTCAATAAAAGACATGGGTAGACTTCGCATCCACGGCATAGAAGCAGGAGGCTGTGCAAACACCATGTTCTGAGGATGAGATAATTTTTTTTTTTAATTTGAAACTGGGTCTCACTATGTTGCCCAGGCTGGTCTCAAACTCCTGGGCTCAAGCAATTCTCCAGCCTCAGCCTCCCAAAGTGCTGGGATTACAGGCCTGAGCCACCGCACATGACTGAGAAAGAATTATTGAGAGTGAAATCACTAACACCAAGAAAAACCAAAACACGCCATGCACAGTGGTTCACACCTGCAATCCCAGCCCTTTGGGAGGCCGAGGTGAGTGGATCACCTGAGGCCAGGGGTTCAAGACCAGCCTGGTCAACATGGTCAGAACCCCATCTCTACTAAAAATACAAAAATTAGCCAGGCGTGGTGGTGGGCACATGTAATCCCAGCTACTCAAGTGGCTGAGGCAGGAGAATTGCTTAAACTCGGGAGGCAGAGGTTGCAGTGAGCTGAGATCGCACCACTGCACTCCACCCTGGGCAACAGAGCGAGACTCTGTCTCAAAAACAAAATGAAACAAAACAAAACAAAAAACCAAAACGCTAAGAGATGCAAAGACTGGTAGAAGGAATCTGGTGCTGGTAGATTCATAATTTTCAAAAACAGCCTAGAAATTTTCCAAGGATGTAGTATAACAAAAAGGCAAAGGAGGGCCGGGCACGGTGGCTCACACCTGTAATCCCAGCACTTTGGGAGGCCGAGGCAGGCAGATCACCTGAGGTCAGGAGTTCAAGACCAGCCTGGTCAACACGGTGAAACCTTCATCGCTACTAAAAATAGAAAAATTAGCCGGATGGGTGGTGCAGGCCTGTAATCCTAGCTACTTGGGAGGCTGAGGCAGGAGAATCACTTGAACCTGGAAGGTGGAGGTTGCAGTGAGCGAAGATCGCGCCATTGCACTCCATCCTGGCAACAGAGTGAGACTCCATTTCAAAAAAAAAAAAAAAAAAAAAAGGCAAAGGAGTGGAAATTGTGAAAGGGAGGTTTTTTTGTTGTTTTGTTGTTTTTGTTTTTGTTTTTTGTTTTTTGTTTTTGAGACAGAGTCTCACTCTATTGCCCAGGCTGGAGTGCAGTGGCAAGATCTTGGCTCACTGCAACCTCCGCCTCCCATGTTCAAGCAATTCTCCTGCCTCAGCCTCCCAAGTAGCTGGGTCTACAGGTGCATGCCATCATACCTGGCTAATTTTTTATTTTTAGTAGAGACGGGGTTTCACTATGTTGGCCAGGCTGGTCTCAAATCCTTGACCTCAGATGATCCATCCACCTCGGCCTCCCAAAGTGCTGGGATGACAGGCATGAGCCACCACGCCAGGCCAGAAAGGGAAGATTTTGTTAAGAGCGATGATATTGTAAGTAATGAAGAAATGAGATTCACAGAAGAACAAAACAATCTCTGATTAAAAACAACACACACAGTTCCTCAAAACCATACACGCCCTTACCTGTCACCAATATCTCAAGCTGATCACTGGGTTCTGAGGCCCAGAAGGGAGACTTTGTCTGGTAGTACATGCAGCTGTAGTTCCCAGCATCGCCGGCTGTCACGTCCACCAGAGAGAAGTCTATCTCCTTCCCCGCTGGACTCTGCAGCTGGATGGGTGATGGCGTCCCTGCCTTCAGTAGAGCGAACATGATAGGCACAAACAATTGGTCTCGCTTCTGGCACTGCAGAGTCACCCTTCCACCTGCGGTCACTGTACCCCTTTGGTAGGTTCGGAGGAAAGGTTTAGATAAATGTCCTGTAAGAGAAGTCAGGTTCTGAGGTCCTGGGGAGAAGTCTGGAATCCCCCACTCACCCCTGTTCTCCTGGCCGGAGGCTCTCGTGGAGTGTGGGAAATGAGAGATTCCTGATCTCTTCTACCTTCCTCCACTTCCTACTCCGACCCCAGGACAGAGATTCTCCCTCCTACAAGACCTGTGTAAGGCCTGGCATGGTGGCTCACACCTGTAATCCCAGCACTTTGGGAGGCCAAGGCGGGTGGATCACCTGAGGTCAGGAGTTCGAGACCAGCCTGCCCAACATGGCGAAACCCTGTCTCTACTAAAAATACAAAAATTAGCCGGGCATGGTGGCAGGCACCTGTAATCCCAGCTGCTCAGGAGGCTGGAGCAGGAGAATCACTTGAGCCCAGGAGGCGGAAGTTGCAGTGAGCCGAGATGGCACCACTGCACTCTGGCCTGGGCGACAAAGTATAAAACCAACATATGCAATTTCGTTCCTGTCTCTCTCCCTCTCCCATCACCCCCAACTACTCTGAAGGTGGGACCCCTTTTCTCCCTCTGTTCCTCCACTTCCTCCCTCATCCCCTGTCCCCCGTATGTCATTGGCAGGCACCCTGTCTGTACCTGTCACCAACAGTAGAAGGACGTCACTGCGCTGTGAAAGGATGTGGGGGGATGCTTTTCTGTAGTATTCACAGGTGTACTCTCCAGCATTTCTGACTTTTAGATTATTGAGGTGAAATTCGGCCGCGCCCTCTGTAGAATCAAGGGGCTTCGGGGACTCCAGAATAATTCCTCCCTTCCTGAGAACAAAGCTCACACCTCTGGCAGGAGTCCAACATCGCAGCGTCACATTGCTGTTGGCAGGGACCACCGAGCTGGGCCAGGCACTGAGGGACGGCTTGGGCAGTGACCCTGGAAGGAAGCAGAGCCTGATGCTGGACCCGATGCCCTCCCCTGCTCTCAGGAAGCCCTTTTTAAAATTTATTATTATTATTATTATTTTGAGATGGAGTCTCCCTCTGTTGCCCAGGCTAGAGTGCAGTGGTGCAATCTCAGTTCACTGCAACCTCCGTCTCCTGGGTTAAAGCAATTCTCCTGCCTCAGCCTCCCAAGTAGGTGGGATTACAGGCACGCACCACCACACCCAGCTAATTTTGTATTTTAGTAGAGACAAGGTTTCACCATGTTGGCCAGGCTGGTCTCGAACTCCTGACCTCAGGTGATCCACCCACCTTGGCCTCCCAAAGTGCTGGGATTACAGGCGTGAACCCCTGAGCCCAATCAGGAATCCCATTTTAAGAAGGGAAGCGGGCTGGGTGCGGTGGCTCACGCCTGTAATCCCAGCACCTTGGGAGGCCAAGGCAGGCAGATCACGAGGTCATGAGATCGAGACCATCCTGGCCAACATGGTGAAACTCCGTCTCTACTAAAAATACAAAAATTAGCTGGGCGTGGTGGCAAGCACCCGTAGTCCCAGCTACTTGGGAGGCTGAGACAGGAGAATCACTTGAGCCCAGGAGGCGGAGGTTGCTGTAAGCCGAGATTGCACCACCGCACTCCAGCCTGGCGAAAGAGTGAGACTCCGTCAAAAAAAAAAGAGAAAAAGAGGGGGAAGGGGAAGAGAACAGCAGGGGATTTGGGATGACAGGCCAAGGAGGGTGTAGTTGAAGAAACACTCACCATCTCCCCTTGTGTCTCCTTGGCCCACGCACAGTCCTGCAAGACAATCCTCCGTGAGCCAGAAGCCCCTACCTGGAGCCACGTCACCCCCTGCCCTGACCCCTGGAGATCGTCCCAGAGTCTCCTGCTGAGAACAGACCCTTAGAGGTCATACGCTCAGGAGTTCTCATTCTCCCCACACTGGACTGTGGCTTCTGCTCGACTTCCAGCTCCTCCATCCTTTCCCAGCGATTCTCCTTGACCATCCTGTGTGGCTGTCACCTCCCCCTGCTCCAGGCCTTTCCCACAAATCCTTCCATTCTCATCTTCTGTTTGAAAACAGCACTCATTCTTACCATTTCTTTCTTTCTTTCTTTTTCTTTCCTTTCTTTCTTTCTTTTTTCTTTCTTTCATTCATTCTTTCTTTCATTCATTCCAGAGACAGAGTCTCGCTCTTTCTTTCTTTTTCTTTCTTTCTTTCTTTCATTCATTCTTTCTTTCTTTCATTCATTCTTTCTTTCTTTCATTCATTCCAGAGACAGAGTTGCGCTCTGTCGCCCAGGCTGGAGTAGAGTGACGCAATCTCGGCTCACTGCAACCTCCGCCTCCCGGGTTCAAGTGATTCTCCTGCCTCAGCCTCCCAAATAGCTGGGATCACAGGCATGCGCCAGGACGCCCGGCTGAGTTTTGTATTATTAGTAGAGACAGGGTTTCACCATATTGGCCAGGCTGGTCTCGAACTCCTGACCTCAGGTGATCCACCCACCTCGGCCTCCCAAAGTGCCGGGATTACAGGCATGAGCTTTGTGCCCAGCTTCTTTTTATTTTTTAATTTTTCATTTTATTATTGTGTTTTGAGACAGGGTCTCTCTCTGTTGCCCAGGTTGGAGTGCAGTGGCTCCATCATGGCTCACTGTAGCCTCCCAGGCTCAAGTGATCCTCCCACCTCAGCCTCCCGAGTAGCTGGGATCACAGGTGTGCACCACCACACCCGGCTAATTTTTTAGTCTTTCCCAGAGACAGAGTCTCCCTATGTTGCCCAGGCTCATGATCTCTTTTAATCCCTTCATGACTCCAAACAGGACAAAATTTATTGTTTGGTGTCCTGTAACAAGCCTCAAAACATCCAAATGGTCATTCCAGAAAGGGGAAAGCATACGTTCCTCCCTGTTTCACACATGGCTGCATTTGCTCTTCCTCCTTTTTAATTTTTTTTGATAGAGACAGGGCTGGGCTGGTTAAGAACTCTTGACCATGCCGGGCGCGGTGGCTCCCGCCTGTAATCCCAGCACTTTGGGAGGCCGAGGCAGGTGGATCACGAGGTCAGGAGTTGAAGACCAGCCTGGCCAACATGGTGAAACCCCGTCTATACTAAAAATACAAAAATTAGCCAGGTGTGGTGATGGGCGCCTGTGATCCCAGCTACTCAGGAGGCTGAGGCAGAGAATCGCTTGAACCCAGGAGGCAGAGTTTGCAATGAGCTGAGATCGCACCACTGCACTCCAGCCTGGCCACAGCGCGAGACTCAGTTTCAGGAAAGAAAAAAAAAAGAGAAAGAAAAGAAAAAACATAATATCAAGCCTGTTTATGAACATTATCATAATAATGAGATTGATCTAACTCAAAGAAAGTTAGTTAGGCCTGTGTCTCTGAGAGATTTCCTCTTTTTCCCCTGTGTGAACAGTTTTAGGTCTCAGCAGGAAAAAGGAGAAGTTACCAGGCGTTTGTGCTACTATTACATCCATGAGCCAATCCATAAACTGACACTTCAAGTTTTGCAAAAGGAAATTGTGAACACCCAAAATGTTCAAACAACGTAAGTGTCCATCCATGGAAGAATGGATAAACACAGTGTGCTCTATATATTCAATGGGATTTTTCTTCTTTTTCTTCGTTTTTTTTTTTTTTTTTTTTGAGACATAGTTTCATTCTTGTTGCCCAGGCTGGAGTGCAATGGCGCGATCTCGGCTCACTGCAACCTCCGCCTCGCGGGTTCAAGTGATTCTCCTGCCTCAGCCTCCCAAGTAGCTGGGATTACAGCTCACTGCAACCTCCGCCTTGCAGGTTCAAGTGATTCTCCTGCCTCAGCCTCCCAAGTAGCTGGGATTACAGCTCACTGCAACCTCCGCCTTGTGGGTTCAAGTGATTCTCCTGCCTCAGCCTCCCAAGTAGCTGGGATTACAGGCATGCACCACCATGCCCAGCTAATTTTGTATTTTTTAGTAGAGACAGGGTTTCACCATGTTGGTCAGGCTGGTCTTGAACTCCCCACCTCAGGTGATCCGCCCATCTTAGCCTCCAAAATGCTTTTTTCTTTTTCTTTTCTTTCTTTCTTTTTTTTTTTTTTTTTTTTTTGAGGCAGGGTCTCGCTCTGCTGCCCAGGCTGGAGTGCAATGATGTGATCCTAGTTCATTCCAGCATCAACTCCCTGGGCTCAGGTGATCCTCCCACCTCTGCCTCCCGAGTAGCTGGGACTACAGCTGCACACCACCATGCCCAGCTCATTTTTGTTGTTGTTGTTGTTTTTAATATTTATTTATTTATTTTGAGATGGAGTTTCGCTCTTGTTGCCCAGACTGGAGTGCAATGGCATGATCTCGGCTCACTGCAACCTCTGACTCCTGGGTTCAAGCGATTCTCTTGCCTCAGCCTCCCAAGTAGCTGGGATTACAGGCGCCCGCCACCACGCATGGCTAATTTTTATATTTTTAGTAGAAATGGGGTTTCACCCTATTGGCCAGGCTGTTCTCGAACTCCTTACGTCAGGTCATTGCAAAAAAAGTGCTGGGATTACAGGCGTGAGCCACCATGCCCAGCCTCATTTTTGTATTTTTTGTAGAGACAGGGTTTCACCATGTTGCCCAGGCTAGTCTCGAACTCCTGGGCTCAAGCGATCTGCCTGCCTCAGACTCTCAAAGTGCTGGGATTACAGGTGTGAGACACTGTGCTCGGCCTACAGTGGGATTTTAGCCATAAAAAGGAAAGGAAATCTGACATATCCTACAATATAGATGTAGCTCGAGGATATTATGCTGAGTAAACTAAGTCAGGCAAAAAAGAACAAGTGTTATGATTCCACTCATACATCCTAGAATAAGCAAATTCATAGAGATAAAAATTAGAATGGGCTGGACACGGTGGCTCACGCCTGTAATCCCAGCACTTTGGGAGGCCGAGACAGGCAGATCACAAAGTCAGGAGATCGAGACCAGCCTGGTCAACATGGTGAAACCTTGTCTCTACTAAAAAAAAAAAAAAAAAAAACTTAGCCAGGCATGGTGGTGAGCGCCAGTGATCCCAGCTACTCGGGAGGGAGAGGCAGGAGAATCGCTTGAACCCAGGAGGCGGAGGTTGCAGTGAGCTGAGATTAGGCCACTGTACTCCAGCCTGGGTGACGAAGCAAGACTCCATCTCCGAAAAAAAAAAAAAAAAAAAGAAATTAGAATGGAGGTTACCAGGGGCTGGGAGGACCGCGGCAAATACAGAGTTATTGGTTAGAGGGTGTAGCGTTCATATTGGGAATTGTGATTGTTAATTTGATTTATCAGCTAGACCAGGCCACAGGATGCTGGGATATCTGGTTAAACATTATTTCTGGGCGTGTCTGTGAGGGTGTTTTTAGAAAGATCAGCATTTGAATCTAATGCTGAGTCGGGCAGGTTGGCCTTCCTAATGGAGGTGGGTATTCTGCTGAGGGCCAGGATGGGAGAAAAAGGTGGCAGAGCCACCACAGTGGCTCACGCCTGTAATCCCAGCACTTTGGGAGGCCAAGGCAGAAGGGCTGCTTGAGGCCAGGAGTTTGAGACCAGCCTGAGTAACATAGTGAGATCCCGTCTCTACAAAAAATTTAAAAATTACACGGGGCACTGTGGCTCACGCCTGTAATCCCAGCACTTTGGGAGGCTGAGGCTGAGGCGGGCAGATCACCTGAGGTGATCACCTGAGGGAGCTCAAGACCAGCCTGGCCAACATGATGAAACCCCGTCTCTACTAAAAAGTACAAAAAATCAGCCGGGTGTGTGGTGGGCACCTGTAATCTCAGCTACCCAGGAGGCTGAGGCAGGAGAATTGCTTGAGCCCAGGAGGTGGAGGCTGCAGTGAGCTGTGGTCATACCACTGCACTCCAGCCTGGGTACAGAGTGAGACTTTGTCTCAAAAAAAGGAAAAGGAGGGAAGGAAGGAAGGAAGTAAGGAAGGAAGGAAGGAAGGGAAAGAGAGAGAGGAAGGAAGGAATGAAGGAGAAAGAGAAAGAAAGAAAGGAAGGAAGGAAGAAAGAAAGAAAGAAAGAAAGAAAGAAAGAAAGAAAGAAAGAAAGAAAGAAAGAAAGAAAGAAAGAAAGCAAGCAAGCAAGCAAGCAGGCAAGCAAGCGGGGGCTCACGCCTGTAATCCCAGCACTTTGGGAGGCCGAGGCGGGCAGATCAAGAAGTCAGGAGATGGAGACCATCCTGGCTAACACAGTGAAACCTACGAAAAAAGCCGGGCATGGTGGCGGGCGCCTGTAGTCCCAGCTACTCGGGAGGCTGAGGCAGGAGAATGGCGTGAACCCGGGAGGCGGAGCTTGCAGTGAGCAGAGATCGCACCACTGCACTCCAGCCTGGGCGACAGAGCGAGACTCCATCTCAAAAAAAAAAAAAAGAAAGAAAGAGAGAGAGAGGAAGGAAGGGAGGAAGGAAGGAAGGAAGGAAGGAAGGAAGGAAGGGAAGGAGAAAAAGAAAGAAAGGAAGGAAGGAAGGAAGAAAGAAAGAGGTTTTAGTGTAGATAGTGGTGATGGTTACACAGCGGCCTCAATTTACTTTATAGTTATCTATTTGACACTAAATTTTTATTTATGGTATTAAGGTTTCTGGGCCAGGCACAGTGGCTCACATCTGTAATCCCAGCACTTTGAGAGACTGAGGTGGGCAGATCACCTGAGGTCGGGAGTTCGAGACCAGCCTGGCCAACATGGTGAAACACTGTCTCTACTAAAAATACAAAAATTAACCAGGCATGGTGGCGCACCCCTGTAATCCAGTTACTCAGGAGGCTGAAGCAGGAGAATCGCTTGAACCCGGGAGGCAGAGGTTGTGGTGAGCCGAGATCATGCCATTGCACTACAGCCTGGGCAACAAGAGCAAAACTCTGTCTCAAAAAAATAAAATAAAATAAAATAAAATAAGGTTTCTATTCTGAATACTTTTACTTACACACAAAAAGTCAGAGTTGATCCTGAGAAAAGGGGTAAGCCAATGAAGCCAGGTGGTGGAGGCATTCAGCAAAACTCACGAAGTTGAAACTACAGGAGTTGAAGTTTGCAGAGCACTCGTTTCCAGGGAATGTCTGCACTGCACTCAGCAGGACGTCTCACTCCTCCCGTGTGCTCAGTAAGCCAAAGTTGATGTTATTATTTCCATCCCCAGCCCAACTATCCCACCAGTTCCATGATTTTCTGCAGTCCCAGTGGATAGCCCTGTGAGACTTACTGAAACAGAGGAGGGAAAGCAGCTTAGGGATCATGATGGCTCCTTAGCCCTCCCAGAGTCCGTCTTGGGTTCTGCAGTCCACAGATGGGAGAAGAGCTGGAGTCGTCGCTGCCTCTCTCCCACCCCAGAGTGTGGGCAGTAACAGCCTTTCCTAGCCTTTCAGTTTCCCCTCCCATATCCACATTCAGGAAACATGTTGATGTTGCTGATTGCAACATGCTCCTTACACACACCAGTGTTCGAGCACTTGACTCACAGGAAATGCTCCTCTGTCTCAGGCAGATTTCAGGCATCAAACAGGTAACCCCGAAAATGCTTCAGACTTGGCCCTGAAGGGTTCGTATTGAAGAGATGAAAGCACTTCACTCTTTTTTTTTTTTTTGAGATGGTGTCTGGTTCTGTTACCTGGGCTGGAGTCCAGTGGCACGATCTCAGGTCATTGCAACTTCAGCCTCCTGGGTTCAAGCAATTCTCCGGCCTCAGCCTCCCAAGTAGCTGGGATTATAGGCGCATGCCACCATGCCCGGCTAATGTTTGTATTTTTAGTTAAGATGAGGTTTCACAAGTTAGCTGGGCTAGTCTTGAACTCCTCGCCTCAAGTGATCCACCTGCCTCGGCCTCCCAAACTGCTGGGATTACAGGCATGAGCCACTGTGCCAGGCCTTCATCACCATTTTTTTTTTTTCTTTTGAGACAGAGTTCCACTCTTTCGCCCAGGCTGGAGTGAAGTGGCAAAATCTCATCTCATTGCAACCTCCACCCCCCAGGTTCAAGCGGTTCTCCTGCCTCAGCCTCCCAAGTAGCTGGGATTACAGGAGCCCTTCAACATGCCCAGTTAATTTTTGTATTTTTTAGTAGAGATGAGGTTTCACCATGTTGGCCAGGCTGGTCTCAAACTCCTGATCTCAAGTGATCCACCCACCTCAGCCTCCCAAAGTGCTGGGATTACAGGCATGAGCCACTGTGCCCAGCCAGTCATGAGCTCATTTTTTAAGTTCAGAATATTTCAGTACATATCTATCTTTATCAAATAAGAACCATTTTAAAAATAATATAAGCACCACAGCACTGTCACATCAAGAAAGTTAAGAGTACCTCCTTGATACCAGCTAATACCCATTCAGTACTCAAATTTCCCTGATTGTCTCAAAAATGTCATTTCTATCAGGTTTTTAAAGAATAAATCAGGATCCAATAAAAGTCTACAGATTGCATTTGATAATTATGTTAATTTAGCCTGGCGCAGTGGCTCATGCCTGTAATCCCAACACTTTGGGAGACCGGGGCAGGTAGATAACCTGAGGTCAGGAGTTCGAGACCAGCCTGGCCAACCATGGTGAAACCTCATCTCTACTAAAAATACAAAAATTAGCTGGGCGTGGTGGTGCACGCCTGTAATCCCAGCTACTCAGGAGGCTGAGGCAGGAGAACTGCTTGAACCTGGGAGGCAAAGGTTGCAGTGAGCTGAGATCGCACCATTGCACTCCAGCCTGGGCAACAGAGTGAGACTCAGTCTCAAAAAAAAAAAAAAAAATGTTAATTTGAATCAGACAAAATTTTTTATTTTTTTGTTAAAATAAGAAATCAAGCAAGTTAGTTTTTAACCATGTTTTTTTTCATCTTGCATTTGGAAGAAGAGCAAAATGCCCCGAAGTCTCGTTTTTGTTTTCGGATTTTTTGTCTTGATAGCACCTACTCTTCTTACTGTTTTGGAACATAGAAAAGTCAACAAGGCAACAAATTATAAGGAGTAAAACCAACTATAATTACAGGTGTTTCTTTGAAAGTTATTTTCACAAGATGTGGCAATGATTTTTAAAGGCTTGGGACTCTTACAAGACCCTTTTGTTCAAATAACAGTTTTGTGTATGAATTTATTTCAACAGAGAACAATTTAGTAATGTTTGTGAATATTCATTTAGTTCTCCATATTGTACCAGAAAACAAGACTGATATTCTTGTGAATCTTCTCAATTCAACTCTTTATCAAATCAGATTCCTTAAATTAGTGTTGTGACTCAGAAAAAATCTTTCTCCTTATGCAGTATCAGGGAAAAGAGGACATCTCCTATATTTCTTCTTAACATCTCTGTTGCTAACAAGGAATATGCATATTTTAAAACTAGGCTCTGGAATTTTATCAGTCAACAGGAAAGGCCTGGTAAAGTTCCATTCCACTTGGAAATGAAGAAAGGAGACCCTGATTCAAAAAACGAAAAAAGAAAGAATAAAGAATAGCTTAGGGCCAGGCAAGGTGGATCACACCTGTAATCCTAAGATTTTGGGAGGTGAGGTAGGTGGAAGGCTTGATCCCAGGAGTTCAACACCAGCCTGGGCAACATGGCCTAATCCCATCTCTACAAAAAATACAAAAATTAGCCAGGCTTGGTGGTATATACCTGTAATCCCAGCTTCTCAGGAGGCTGAGGTGGGAGAATCACTTGAACCTGGGAGGGGGAGGTGGCAGTGAGCTGAGATCGCACCATTGTACCCCAGCCTGGGCAACAAGAGTGAAACTCCATCTCAAAAAATAATAATAAAATAAATAAATAAATAATCATTCACTTTGTTAGGTGTTTATCACACCTAACCTTAAGAATATGTTACCAAAATAAAAAGTCTTATAGATGAAATCATATTATATCTGAGGTTTACTTTAAAATACTCCAGGAGAAAATTTAAAATAGACTTGGGGGAGGGGACTTATCTGTAGTTATCTGCACATAATCTACATGATTATCTCAAAGCCATCCTTTTGCTGTTGAGAATTCTGATTTTTAGCTGGGCCCATTGGCACCCAGGTAAAAAACTACATTCTTCAGTGTCACTTACAGGTAGATGTAGCCGTAAGTCTTCATCTAGGACAATGATAAATAAGCATAAATATTGTAGACAGCTTCCAAAAGGTTCTTTAATGAAGTACACTTTCCTTCCTTCACTTAACTGCCTAAAATGTGGATGTGATGACTGGTATTCTAGCGTCATCTTGAACCATGAAGATGAGATGAGGTTCAAGATGGTGGAGGGTGAGCCAGAAGTAACTTAGGTCCATAATGCTTTTTGGAGTCACTGTGCCAGCCTTGGACTGCTCCCTTCAGATTTATTCTACATAAGGGAGAAATCAATTGGTATTAGTTTTAAGTCATCATTATTTAGTTCTCTTTTGGGTTTAGGTTATCAATTACTGTGTTAACAAACCACCCCAAAACTGAGTAACTTAGAGTAACAATCTTGTTTTTTTTTTTTTTTAATCATTCCTGATCTGGTGAGATGACTGGGCTCAGTTGAGCGGTTCTTCGGTTCAATGTGATGTCTTCCTGGGCTTCAGTCATCAGGGTGGCTCAACTGAGCTGGAATCTCCAAGATGGCACTTGCAAATGGCTGGCTGTTGATGCTGGATGTTGGTTGAAAGCTCGGCTAGGACTGTTGAATGATGTACCTGCACATGGCCTCTCCATTTGATTCAGACTTCTTGGAGGATAGCATCTGGGTTTCAAGAGGGGATGTCACAAGAGAGCTTTCTAAAATAGAGAAGGCGGCTGGGCATGGTGGCTCACGTCTGTAATCCCAGCACTTTGGGAGGCCGAGGTGGGTGGATCACCTGAGGTCAGGAGTTCAACATCAGCCTGGCCAACATGGTAAAACCCCGTCTCTACTAAAAACAAAATTAAAAAAAATTAGCCGGGTGTGTTTGTGCACACCTGTAATCCCAGCTACTCAGGAGGCCGAGGCAGGAGAATTGCTTGAACCTGGGAGGCGGAAGTTGCAGTGAGCCGAGATCACACCACTGCACTCCAGCCTGGGCAACAGAATGAGACTCTGTCTCAAATAAATAAATAAATAAATAAAATAAAGAAGGCAAAAGTTGTTTGTCCCTTTAAAGACTAAGCCTGGAACTGACACAGTTTCTCTTCTTCTACAGTCTTAAGGAAAGGCCAGATTCAAGGGGAGGGAAAATAAACTCTACCTCTCTATAGGGACAGTGACAAAGAATTGGAGGCCATCTTTAGTCTGTCATGTGTTATGGTCAATGGAAATAGATATATATATATTTACTGAGTGCCTGAGTCCCACCGAGAGATTTTAATTATTTTTTTATTTTTGTTTTTTTAAGATGGAATTTTGCTCTTGTTGCCCAGGCTGAAGTGCAATGGCATGATCTCAGCTCACTGCAACCTCTGCCTCCCGGGTTCAAGCGATTCTCCTGCCTCAGCCTCCCAAGTAGCTCGGATTACAGGCAAGTGCCACCACACCCAGTTAATTTTGTATTTTTTAGTAGAGATGGGATTTCTCCATGTTGGTCAGGCTGGTCTTGAACTCTTGACCTCAGGTGATCTGCCCACCTTGGCCTCCCAAAGTGCTGGGATTACAGGTGTGAGCCACCGTGCCCAGTCGAGATTTTAATTTTTATAATGGGTATAGGATGAGGCCTGGGTGTCTCATTCTGTGTTTTAAATGTTCCTGGGAAATTCTAATGTGCAGTCAAGTTTGAGAACCACTGGGTTGGAACACATAACCTCCTTCCCATCTCAGACCCTGAAACATCCTGAAAACTCCTGTATCTGGAGTTTTTCCCCCATTTTTGCTTGGCTAACTTTGACTCTTCCCTCAGAAACCAGCTTCAGAATCTTTTCTTTAGCAAAGACTTCCCTGCAAGTTCTTTAACAGCACTTATCTCAGCTGTGACAAAATCATCAATGGTGTAATTGTGTCTTTTTAATGTCTTTTCCCCTATTCTTCATAATCGTCAAAGTAAAGGATAGCTCTTCTCTCAGTCAGAACTATTAATAGATGCTGTAATGGAAATGAAACAAGACTCTCAGACTCTTGTTAAAGTAAGAAGTCTAGCAGAGTCTCAGGCTTTAATTTTTTTTTTCCGATCATAAATGTGGGAGAAAGATCATTTAACCTGCTGCTAAGGTTTGAATATTTGTTCCCTTGAAAACTCATGTTGAACCAGCCTGGGCAACATAGGGAGACCCTGTCTCTACAAATAATTTAAAAATTAGCCAGGTGAGGTGGCACATGCCTGTGATCCCAGCTACTCAGGAGGCTGAAGTGGGAGGATCACCTGAGCCCAGAAAGCTGAGGATGCAGTGAACCGTGATTGCACCACTGCACTCCAGCCTGTGCAACACAGTGAGACCCTGTCTCAAAAAATAAATAGGTAAATAAGCTGAGTGTGGTGGCTCACACCTGTAATCTCAGCACTTTAGGAAGCCAAGGTGGGCAGATCACATGAGGTCAGGAGTTTGAGACTAGCTGGCCAACATGATGAAACCCTGTCTCTACTAAAAATACAAAAATTACCCGGGCATGGTGGCACGTGCCTGTAATACCAGCTACTCAGGAGGCTGAGGCAGGAGAATCACTTGAACCTGGGAGGTGGAGGTTATAATGAGCTGAGATCATGCCACTGCTGTCCAGCCTGGGTGACATAGCAAGACATTGTCTCAAAAAATACATAAATAAATAATAAATAAATAAACTTATGGTGAAACTGAATCCCTAATGTGGCCGTATTGATAGGTCGGGCATTTAAGAGGTGATTGGGTCATGAGGACTCTTTTCTCATGAATGAACTAATCCATTCATGGATTAATGGATTAGTGAGTTAATGGATTAATGGGTTACCCTGGGAGTGAGACTGGTGGCTTTA
Source organism: Homo sapiens (assembly GCF_000001405.40). NCBI lineage: Eukaryota > Metazoa > Chordata > Mammalia > Primates > Hominidae > Homo > Homo sapiens. Next base: position 61,348 of record NW_003571055.2, read on the forward strand.
TCAGAAGAGGAAGAGAGACTTAAGTAGCACGCTCAGCTCTTTTGCCCTGTGATGCCCTGTGCCACCTCGGAACCCTCCAGAGAGTCCCCAACAGCAAGAAGGTCCTCACCAGATGCAGCCCCTCCACCTTGGACTTTCCAACCTCCATTAACTACAGGAAATAAATTCCTTTTCTTTATAAGTTATCTGGCTTCAAGTGTTCTGTTCTAAGCAACAGAATACAGACTAAGACACAGACACCAATGCATAGCTTCTGATTTAACAGAATTGTTTTTACAAGCATTTATTCTGCTTGGAAATTCAGATGTCAATCATAAGATTGTTACCAGGGCAACAAAATATTAAGTAAGACCACCAAATGGCACCAAGGTTTCTCCTTCAAAATAATGATTGCAATACTGGCAATAATTTCTAATGTCTTTGGACTCCTACAAGATTATTTTGTGCAAATTACACTTCAAAGCACAGATTTATGGAACCACAGAATGGAACACTGGCTGCTGTAATAAATATCCATAGATCTCCATACTACATAAGACTATAAAACACATTTAGAGCCTTTTTAATATTCTCAGTTTATTAACTTATCAATCCACATTCCATTTTTTTGTTTGTTTGTTTTGTTTTGTTTTTTTACTTTAAGTTCTAGGGTACATGTGCATAATGTACAGGTTTGATACATGTGCCATGTTGGTTTGCTCCACCCATCAAGTTATCATTTACATTAGGTATTTCTCCTAATGCTATCCCTCCCCCAGCCCCCCACCCCACTCTGTTTTTTTTTTTTTTGTTTTTTTTTTTTTAAGACAGGGTCTCACTGTGTCACCCAGGTTGGAGTGCAGTGGTGTGATCTCGACTCACTGCAACCTCTGCCTCTCGGGTTCAAGTGATTCTCTTGCCCCAGCCCTCCCAAGTACAAGGAATTACAGGGTTGTGCCACCACGCCGGGCTAATTTTTGTACTTTTAGTAGAGACAGTGTTTTGCCATGTTGGCCAGGGCTGGTCTCGAACTTCTGGGCCCAAGTGATCCGCCTGCCTCGACCTCCCAAAGTTCTGGGATTACAGGTGTGAACCACCATGCCTCGCCTAAACTACATTCTTGAATTAGTTTTATGGCACAGAATATCTTTTTCTCCTCTCTCAATGCCCTCTCTCTCTCTAGCTCCCTCTCCTCCCCTACAGCTGCAAAGAAGAGATCTTCTTAATCCATTTCTTAAACTTCTTTTGATCAATTATAAAGAATTTTTTTTTTTAGATGGAGTCTCACTCTGTCACCCAGGATGGAGTGCAATGGCACAATCTCAGCTCACTGCAACCTCTGCCTCCCGGGTTCAAGTGATTCTCCTGCCTCAGCCTCCCAAGTAGCTGGGACTACAGGCATGTGCCACTACGCCCGGCTACTTTTTTTTTTTTTTGTATTTTTAGTAGAGACGGGGTTTCACCATGTTAGCCAGGATGGTCTCGATCTCCTGACCTCATGATCCGCCCACCTCAGCCTTCCAAAGTGCTGGGACTACAGGCGTGTGCCACTACACCCGGCTACTTTTGTGTGTGTGTGTGTGTGTGTTTAGTAGAGACGGAGTTTCACCATGTTAGCCAAGATGGTCTCGATCTCCGGACCTTGTGATCCACCCGCCTCAGCCTCCCAAAGTGCTGGGATTACAGGTGTAAGCCACTGTGCCCGGCCAATTATAAATATTTTTTAAGGCTAAACTCTGGAATTTTGCTAGTTAGCCTTAAAAGCACAAAGCAGGCCTATAAAGTTCAATTTTACTGGTAGAAAGCAAGAAATGGATGAATAGGATGTTCGCTGACAACCATGCAATTGAAACCTCCTTTGCAAAAATTACGAGAGTGAGCAAACGATGGCAGTGAAGGAGATCGGATCTGGCCAGCCCCTACCTTGCCTTTGGCCCTCAAACTGCTTGTAGTTATTCCTGGGTTTAGGCTAATCTGACTTGTCTCTTTGGGAGACATTTATTTTATTTTCTTTTATATTTCCTTGAGACGGAGTCTCGCTCTGTAGCCCGGGCTGGAGTGCAGTGGTGAGATCTCGGTTCACCGCAACCTCTGCATCCTAGTTCAAGGGATTCTCCTGCCTCAGCCTCCAGAGTAGCTGGAATTACAGGTGCCTGCCACCATGCCCGATTAATTTTTGTATTTTTAGTAGAGACGAGGTTTCACCATGTTGGCCAGGCTGGTCTGAAACTCCTGACCTCAAGAGATCCGCCCGCCTTGGCCTCCCAAAGTGCTGGGATTAGAGGAAAGAAGGAAAGGAAGGAAAAGAAAGGAAAAGAGAGGAGAGGAGAGGGGAGGGGAGGGGAAGGGAGAGAAAGGAAAGGAAAGGGAGAGAAAGGGAAGAGAGAAAGAAAGAAGAAAAGAGAGAAAGAAAGAAAGAAAGAAAGAAAGAAAAATAAAGAAAGAAGAAAAAAGAAAAGAGAAAAGGAAGGAGGGAGGGAGGGAGGCAAGGAAGGAAGGAAGCAAGAAAGAGAGAAAGAGAGAAAAGAGGCTCCTTATAAATAACAAAAGACACCCTTCTCACCAAGGGTTTTTGGAAATTCCAGAGTGATGGGGTGAGAAGGGTGTCTTTGGAACCAAAGCTGAAGACCAAGTACATATTTCTTACTATATCACGGTATCACGGGAGGTAAAACGGAGGTGGCCTTGAAGCAGCTCCTCCCCAGCCCCCAATCCTCTTGTGTGCCCGGAGGATCAGAAGAGGTCCCGCCGAGACTCAGCTTAGCTGTGGTTCAAGCCTCTGATTGCGTGGATAAGTACCAGGTTTCCAGAGTGCCAGGGCGGGGCTGCCCCTTGCGGTGGCATTAACTTTCCATGGCTATTTAAAATCAGCAGAGGACACACGATCTTCAGATGGGTCCTGTTTTACTTCCATATTTTCTCCTAGAGAGAAGAAAAATCATTAAACTTTTTTTTGTTTGTTTTTTGTTTTTTTGTTTTATTCGTTGTTTTTTTTTTTTTTTTTTTTTTTTGAGACGGAGTCTCGCTCTGTGGCCCAGGCTGGAGTGCAATGGCGTGTATCAGCTCACTGCAACCTCTGCCTCCAGGGTTCAAGTGATTCTCCTGCCTCAGCCTCCCGAGTAGCTGGGATTACAGCTTTGTATTTTTAGTAGAGTCGGGGTTTCACTATATTGGCCAGGGTGGTCTCCAACTCCTGACCTCAGGTGATCTGCCTGCCTTGGCCTCCCAAAGTGCTGGGATTACAGGCGTGAACCACCGCACCTGGCCTACTGTATTTTTTTTTTTTTTTTTGAATAGAGAAGGGAGTCTCAAACTCTTGGCCTCAAGCCATCCTCCTGCCTCAGTTTCCCAAAATGCTGGGATTATGAGTGAGCCACTGCACCTATCCCACCCCCTCCCACCCTCATTTTTAGAAGGGCACAGGCTAGAGACCATATTTCCATCAGTCACTTTTGCGGCTAGACCTGTCCATGAGACTAAGTTCTAGCCAATGGGATGCGATAGGAAGATACATGCTCAAATTCTAGGTCCTGCTCTTAAAAAATAATTGTGTGGGCCGGGCGCAGTGGCTCACGCCTGTAATCCCAGTACTTTGGGAGGCTGAGGCAGGCGGATCACGAGGTCAGGAAATCGAGACCATCCTGGATAACACGGTGAAACCCCGTCTCTACTAAAAATACAAAAAAATTTAGCCGGGTGTGGTGGTGGACGCCTGTAGTCCCAGCTACTTGGGAGGCTGAGGCAGGAGAATGGCGTGAACCCGGGAGGCGGAGCTTGCAGTGAGCCGAGATCGCGCCACTGCACTCCAGCCTGGGCGACAGAGCAAGACTCCAACTCGGAAAAAAAAAAAAATAATAATTGTGTGAGCCCTTTTCTCTCTGTCCTCTCCTCTTTCTTGGGGCTCAGAACCAGAAATTAAAGCTACATGTTGATAAAAGCAAAACCATCCCACCTTAACAAGTAAATCGTTGAGATTGCCCAGTGATTTACTGTTAAGTGAGAGAGAGGTACATTTATATCTAGTTTTTTTCCGGTGGTGAAGGAGATTCTTTTTTTCTCTCTCTCTCTCTTTTTTATGAGATGGAGCTTGGCTCTTGTTGCCCAGGCTGGAGTGCAATGGCACGACCTCGGCTCAGTGAAACCTCCGCCTCCCGGGTTCAAGTGATTCTCCTGCCTCAGCCTCCCGAGTAGCTGGGATTACAGGCATGCACCACCACACCAGGCTAATTTTTTGTATTTAGTAGAGACAGGGTTTCACCATGTTAATCAGGCTGCTCTCGAACTCCTGACCTCAGGTGATCCACCTGCCTTGGCCTCCCAAAGTGCTAGGATTACAGGTGTGCGCCACTGCACCTGGCCGGGAGATTCTTTTTTACAACAGCTTAAAGTGCTCTGTAACCAATACACTATGCAGTGATTTGGTTAATACTTTGTGAGTTCCATGAGTGCAGGGTTTATGTCTGCTATTGCTCCCCACTGGACCGCCGGACTCTAGCACAATGCCATGCACGGTAGACATTGAATACATGAGTGATACGAGGATGAATGAGACTAGGGGAAATCAGTGGAAGCCCTAGGCCTGGCACAGTGACTCACTCCTGGAATCCCAGCACTTTGGGAGGCCAAGGAAGGAGGATGGCTTGAGGCCAGGCATTCAAGACCAGCCTGGACAACATGGTGAGATCCCATAGCTATAAAAAGTAAACAATTAGCCGGGCGCGGTGGCTCACGCCTGTAATTCCAGCACTTTGGGAGGCCGAGGGGGGTGGATCACGAGGTCAATAGATCGAGACCATCCTGGCCAACATGGTGAAACCCCATCTCTACTAAAAATACAAAAGTTAGCTGGGCATGGTGGTGGCACACGCCTGTAATCCCAGCGACTCGGGAGGGCGAGGCAGGAGAATCACTTGAACCCAAGAGGCGGAGGTTGCAGTGAGCCGAGATCGCGTCATTGCACTACAGCCTGGCAACAGAGCGAGACTCCATCTCAAAAAAAAAATAATAATAATAGTAATAATAAATTGGCCAGGCGTGGTGATGGCAGTGTTGTCATTGCTTTAAGAGGCAGGAACAGGGGGAAAAGACCCAGCAGTCTAACCACACAGACAAGTCCCAAGTTAGGCACTTCTGTGTGTCTTGGGGGCTGTTGATCAGAAATAACCTATGTGGATCACCCAGCAAAATGACCAGTATGAAAAGATGTTCAGTGGTAGAAAATGAAATAAGCATTGTGACTACAACTCACTCAATAAGCATTCATTGAACACTGGTCACTGGTAAACTGCTATGAAGAAATCTCAGCTGGGTGCGGTGGCTCACGCTTGTAATCCCAGCACTTTAAAGGGAGACCAAGGTGGGCAGATGGATCACTTTAGGTCAAGCGTTCGAGAACAGCCTGGCCAACATGGTGAAACCCCATCTCTACTAAAAACACAAAATTAGCCGGGCATGGTGGCAGGTGCCTGTAATCCCAGCTACTTGGGAGGCTGAGGCAGGAGAATCGTTTGAACCCGGGAGGTGGAGATTGTAGTGAGCTGAGATCACAACACTGCACTCCAACCTGGGAAACAGAGCAAGACTCCATCTCAAAAAGAAAAAAAATCTCAAGCTTATTGGATAGATAAATGCACAGGTAGATAGATGGATATTGAATGAATAAATAGTTCAGTGGATTAAAAACTGGTTAATGAAGAAATGGATGGGTAAATGGATGGAAATATGAATGAATGCATGATGGATAAGGACAAATGAAATAGACAAATGTACAAATGAAAGCAAAGGAAAAAGAGATGCTCAATAGAAATGAATAAGGATGAGAATCAATGCTAGACATGAATGAGTGAATGGTGAATGAAGGAGTGATTGAATGGATGAATACATGGAGTTAAGTTGAAGTACAAACTCGGCCAAGACTTCTTTTTCTCTGCTTTGGGTGGAAATACATTTTTAAAAAAAGAGGGCCGGGCACGGTGGCTCATGCCTGTAATCCCAGCACTTTGGGAGGCTGAGGCGGGCGGATCACCTGAGTTTGGGAGTTCGAGGCCAGCCTGACCAACACAGAGAAACCCTGTTTCTACTCAAAATACAAAATTAGCCAGGTGTGGTGGCTCACACCTGTAATCCCAGCTACTCGGGAGGCTGAGGCAGGAGAATCACTTGAACCTGGGAGGCGGAGGTTGTGGTGAGCCGAGATGGCGCCATTGCACTCCAGCCTGGGCAACAAGAGCGAAAGTCCACCTCAAAAAAAATAAAATAAAATAAAATAAAATAAAAAAAGAGGGAAAAAGGAAAAAAAAAGACTCCCTGATGTGCCACTGACTTCCTGTACATGTTTAGGTAAACTTAATATCACCTCTCTTTCCACCATTTTCCCATTTATAAAGTGGGAAGACTGGATTTGATGACATCACAGCCTCATCCAGGTCTGGTGCCTTCCTTATAACCTGCGTCTCTTCTTTATTCTTTTTTTTTTTTTTTTTTTTTTTGAGACGGAGTTTTGCTCTGTCACCCAGGCTGGAGTGTGCAGTGATGCAATCTCGGCTCACTACAACCTCCGCCTCCTGGGTTCAAGCAATTCTCCTGCCTCAGCCTCCCGAGTAGCTGGGATTACAGGCGCCCGCCACCACGCCCGGCTAATTTTTGTATTTTTAGTAGAGACGGGGTTTCACCATGTTGTCCAGGCTGGTCTCGAACTTCTGACTTCGTGATCCACCTGCCTCGGCCTCCCAAAGTGCTAGGATCACAGGTGTGAGCCAGCACCCCCGGCTTATTCCTTTTTTAAAATTGTTATTATTTCCCACAGCCACATATGCCGGGGAGGTTGTCCCACATATGTTCTACCAAGGCCCCTCTGGCACTGAGATCAAACCCCGGAAGACCCGCTCAGTCTCTCCTCCCGTCTTTTCAACACGTTAGCGCCCCCAGGTGGCTAATTAGACTTCAAAATTCAGTTCTTGAGGCGGGCGGATCACTTGAGGTCAGGAGTTCAAGACCAGTCTGGTCAACATGGTGAAACCCCGTCTCTACTAAAAATACAAACATTAGCCGGACATGGTGGTACGCACCTGTAATCCCAGCTATTCGGGAGGCCGAGGCAGGTGGATCACTTGAGGTCAGGAGTTCGAGACCACCTGGCCAATTTGGCAAAACTCCATCTCTACTAAAAATACAAAAATTAGCTGGGCGTGATAGCGCACACCTGTAATCCCAGCTACTCAGGAGACTGAGGCACGAGAATCACTTGAACCCGGGAGGCGGATGTTGCAGTGAACCGAGATCACGCCACTGCACTCCAGCCTGGGTGGAGTGAGATCTTCTCTCAAAAAAAAAAAAGAAAGAAAGAAAGAAAAAGTCGTGCTTGATTATGCTTGATGGCAAAAAGGTGAGACCTTCCTTTCGGCACTGAGTCTGGTAGAAATCGGTGTTACAGGGTAGCTAACATTTATTGAACACTTACTACGGGCCAGTTACTGCTTTAAATGTTTTATGTGTATTACCCACTGAATCCTACAACAATCCTATGAAGTGGGTTTTATCAGTGCATCCATTTTACCGTCAAGGCAAGAGAGAGTTGGGGAAGGGCGCTTTCTGAATGCTGCTACCGTGTCCAGAGTTGGTTCCTTCCTGTGGGTTTGTGGTCTCGCTGACTTTAAGAATGGAGCCAGGGACCTTCGTGGTGAGTGTTACAGCGCTTAAAGATGGCACGGACCTAAAGAGTTAGCAGCAGCAAGATTTATTGTGTAGAGCAAGAGAACAAAGCTCCCACAGCGTGGAAGCAGACTCTGGTGGGGTGCCGCGCTCGCCAGCTTTTATTCCCTTATTGTCCCCGCCCATGTCCTGCTGATTGGTCCATTTTACAGAGCGCTGATTGGTCCATCTTACAGAGTGCTGATTGGTCCATTTTACAATCCTCTTGTAAGACAGAAAAGTTCTCCAGGTCCCCATTCAACCCAGGAAGTCCAGCTGGCTTCACGTCTCACTACTACCTTTCTGTAGCTGCTACTACTACAGTGAGTAGACGGCAGTGCTGGGATTCGAACCCTCTGTCTTCTGGCTTGGAAGTCTTAACCACTAATCGCGTCTTCCTTTCAGCTACTCCTTGGGAAAGGCCTGGAAAGAAGCTACAGCACAGGGCACAGCGGGGTCTAAGGACCGTTCCGCGGAGCTCAGCCAGCAGGACTGTGGGGCTGCAGGAAAGGACAGTCCAGCCCAGGGTCCCAGCTTCTCCGCCACTCAGGTTGGAAGTCTCGGGCTGCAGTGCTCCTGGGGCTCAGGGGCGGATACCAGCAGGAGCGCGGTTCTGACTGCGCCAGTCAAAAGTGACCAGCGCGCCCAGGGAGATGAGGACCAGCCCGGCCAGCCCCAGGCGGACTAGGTTCCCCCGGGTGTAGTCGGAGGAGCCAGAGTCTGCGGGCGGAGCCGGGAGAGAGGGGCCATCAGCTCCCGGACCCCAAAGTCTGGGCCCTGAACTCCAGGTTTCCAGCCCCTGGGGTGGACTTAGGGACCTGACTCTACAGTCTCAAAGTTGAGGGGGAGTCGATGGAGGCTTCAACTCCTGGGTCCAGGAAGAAGGGGCTGGGGCCTGGACTGCTGGATCAGGAAGGAGGGGCTGGGGGCCTGGAGTCCTGGGTCCAGGAAGGAGGGGCTGGGGGCCTGGAGTCCTGGGTCTGAGGGAGGAGGTACTGGGGCCCGGGAATCCTGGGTCTGAGGGAGGAGGAGCTGGAGGACTAGACTCCTGGATCTGAGGGAGGAGGGGCTGGGTCCCAGGAATCCTGGGTCTGAGGGAGGAGGGGCTGCAGGACTAGACCCCTGGGTCTGAAGGAGGAGAGGCTGGGGGCCTGGGCTCCTGGGTCTGAGGGCGGAGGTCCTGGGGCCTGCATTCCTGGGGCGGAGGAGGCGGGCCGGGCCTCAGGGCCCTCACCTTCCCAGCTGATGACCAGCACCTCGCTGCGCTGCGACAGCACGTAGGGCGCGGAGGGCGTGTGATAGTAGCAGCTGTAGGTGCCGGGGGCGCGGGCGCCCAGCAGCGTGAAGTCGGCCCAGGGCTGCGCGGAGTGGCGGTACTGCAGCGGGGCCGCCACGCCCTCGCGGTACAGCACGAAGCTCATGTTCCGCAGGCGGCCCGCGCAGCGCAGGCTCACGTTGGCGCCAGGACCCACCACCGGCCCGGGCAGCGCCACCAGCGACGGCCGCGGCAGCTCCTCTGCAGAGACGGGGTGAGAGTCCGGGGCCGCGTGAGCGTCTTCCGCTCGCTCGCTCGCTCTGTTTCTCCTTCTCCTCTGTCTCTCGCTTTCTCTGTGCCTCTCTCTCTCTTTCTGCCTCTCTTTCTCTCTGCCTGTCTCTCTCTCTGTCTGCCTCTCTCTCTGCCTCCCTCTCTCTCTGCCTCCCTCTCTCTGCCTCCCTCTCTCTCTGCCTCCCTCTCTCTCTGCCTCCCTCTCTCTCTGCCTCCCTCTCTCTCTGCCTCCCTCTCTCTCTGCCTGCCTCTCTCTTTGCCTGCCTCTCTCTCTGCCTCCCTCTCTCTGCCTCCCTCTCTCTCTGCCTCCCTCTCTCTCTGCCTCCCTCTCTCTCTGCCTCCCTCTCTCTCTGCCTCCCTCTCTCTCTGCCTGCCTCTCTCTCTGCCTGCCTCTCTCTCTGCCTCCCTCTCTTTCTGCCTCCCTCTCTCTCTGCCTCCCTCTCTCTCTGCCTCCCTTTCTCCTTCTGCCTCTTTCTCTCTCTCTCCCCCCGCACTGTACCTCTCTCTCTCTCTGCTCCCCTGTCTCTCTCTCTCTGCTCCCCTGTCTCTCTCTCTCCCCCTAGTGTCTCTGTATCTGTCTTTTCTTGTGTCTGTGAATCTGTTTGCCCGCCTCGCTCTGTCTCTCTTTCCCTATATCTCTCTGTCCCTCCCCCAACTCCCTTGTTCCACCCACTTCTCCTCCCCGACCCCAGGACCTCACCTGTCACCAGCAGCTCCAGGACATCGCTGGGCTGGGACCAGACACCCGGCCCCCAGTCTGGCCTTCGGTAGCAGCAGCGGTAAATTCCCCCTTGGGCTGGAGTCACCTCCTCCAGAAAGAATTCTGCCAGCTCGGAGGACACATCCCGGAAGAGAAGGGGAGCGATCTCTCCAGGCTTGAAAAGTCCAAATCTCCAAGCGGGTTGGGGTGCCCGGCATCTCAAGGTCACGTTGACCCCAGGGGTCACAACTGTAGCCGGCTGAGCTCCCAGCCATGGCTTAGGGTGGTATGAAGCTGGGGGGACTGAATAAACGGGGCTGCCTGGGTCCTCGGGCCTCCTGGGAGCCCCAGAAGATGAAAGGGAAGTTGGGGAAGGAGGAAAATCACCTTGGACAATTACTGCCCCTTTCTTAGCCTCAGTTTCCTGTTTGTAAAATCAGGGAGAGACTGGACTACAATCAAGCCTTGTTAAAACCAGGTGCAAATCAGAGGGGCAGGACAGAAACTTCTGAGCTTTACTCCACAGTTTGTAAACACAGTTTCAAAAGGTCAGGTCCCAGAACTCTGTAATTTTATTATTATTATTATTTTTAAGTAATGAGATGGGAGGGGGCGGTCTCCCTATGTTGAGCAGGTTGGTCTTAAACTACTGGCCTCAAGCAATCCTCCCACCTCGGCCTCCCAAAGTGCTAAGTTTACAAGCTTGTGCCACCACACCCAGACTTTTTTTTTTTTTTTTTTTTTTTTTGAGGCAGGGTCTTGCTGTGTTGCTCAGGCAGGAGTGCAGTGGCATGTTCTCAACTCACTGCAGCCTCAATCTCTTGGGCTCAAACAGTCCTCCACCTCAGCCTCCTGAGTACCTGGGACCACAGGCACATGCCACTACACCAGGCTAATTTTTTTTTTTTAATTTTTAGTAGAGACGAGCATTCGCTATATTGCCCAGGCTACTCTTGAACTCTTGGGCTCGAGCAATCCTCCCACCTCGGCCTCCCAAAGTGCTGGGATTACAGGTGTGAGCCACCACGCCCAGCCAGAACTCTAATTTTAAATAGCTTTCCAGAATATTTGCAATATAGTATTTCAAGAGTTGCCAAAACTTGCTATTTGGAAAAGAAAAATGTTGGATCCCTACCTCATACCATTTCCCAAAACAACTTCCAGATTAATTAAAGACCCTGTGTTTCTTTTTTTTTAAACTATAAAAGTATTCAAAAAACTATAGGAAAATATATTTGTCTTGGGGTAAGGAAGGCTTCTTAAAATATAAAATAAAAAGTTGTATGGAAGATTAATTAATTTGACCACTTCAAATTTCTTAAGTTGTGTATGCTAAAAGACAAAACTGGAGGACAAATGATAGTACTGGCAGATATCACTTATTCACAAATCACACAAATTAAGAGTACAGGAAGGCTGTTGGGTCCGGTGGCTCACAGCTGTAATCCCAGCACTTTGGGAGGCCAAGGTGGGTGCATCACCTGAGGTCAGGAGTTCAAGACCAGCCTGACCAACATGGTAAAATCCCATCTCTACTAAAAACAGAAAAATTAGCCAGGCGTGGTAGTGCTAGCTTGTAGTTCCAGCTGTTTGGGATGCTGAGTAGGAGAATTACTTGAACCCTAGAGTCGGAGGCTGCAGTTAGCTGAGATCATGCCACTGCACTCCAGCCTGGGCAACAGAGTGAGAACTCCATGGTGGCATGCACTTTGGGAGGCTGAGGCTGGAGGATTGTCTGAGCCCAGGAATTCAAAGCTGCAGTGAGCTATGATAGAGCCACCGTACTCCAGCCCGGGTGACACAATGAGACCCCATCTCTAAAAATGAATAAAAATAAGGGTCGGGTGAGGGGGCTCATGTTTGTAATCCCAACACTTTGGGAGGCTGAGGCAGAGGGATCACCTGAGGTCAGGAGTTCCAGACCAGCCTGACCAACATGGGGAAACCCTGTCTCTACTAAAAATACAAAAATTATCCGGGCATTGTGGTGTGTGCCTGTAGTCCCAGCTACTCAGGAGGCTGAGGCAGGAGAATCCCTTGAACCCAGGAGGTGGTTGCAGTGAGCCGAGATTGCACCACTGCACTCCGGCCTGGGCGACAGAGAGAAACTGGTCTCAAAATAAATAAATAAATAAATAAAATAAATAGGTAGAGATAGCTATAGCGACACTGAAATATCTCCAAAAGAGTTTTTGTTTGTTTGTTTGTTTGTTTGTTTTTGAAGTGGAGTCTTGCACTGTCACCCAGGCTGGAGTGCAGTGGCGCGATCTCAGCTTACTGCAACCTCTGCCTCCTGGGTTCAAGCGATTCTCTTGCCTCAGCCTCCTGAGTAGCTGGGATTACAGGTGCGTCCCACCACACCCGGCTAATTTTTTTTTTTTTTTTTTTTTTTTTTTAGTAGAGACGGGGTTTCACCACATTAGCCAGGATGATCTCGATCTGACCTTGTGATCCGCCCGCCTCTGCCTCCCAAAGTGCTGGGATTACAGACGTTGGCCATTGCGCCCAGCCCAAGATCCTATTTCTTAAGCCCTGTACTGTGCCAGGCTCAGGGTTTTGCACATGTGATTTGATGAGATCTCACAGCGGCCCATTTTACAGAGAAGGAAATGGAGTCTTAGCAAGCTGTGACTTGTTCTAGGTCATATGGTCACATATAAATGAATACGATGGTGAAACTGAGGTCCTAGCTTAGGCCTCTGCCTCAGAAGTTCCTGGTCTTCAGTACTCACCTATAATGGCCACTAAGGGGAATGAGAAAAGAAGGAAGGAATGGAGGGAGGGAGGAAAATAAGGATATCTGGGATGGGATTGGGCACCAAAATAAAATCTGAGTAATTGGAAAAGGGGTGTCAGCAACAAAAGGAGAGTGGATGGGGTGGCTACTCACCAGACGGAGTGATGTCTGTGTGACACAGAGGCCCTGTAGGAGGTTGAGGGACTAGTTTCTTTTTCCTTTTTTTTTTTTTGTCTGAGGCAGACTCTCACTCTGTCGCCCAGGCTGGAGTGTAGTGGTGTGATCTCAGCTCACTGCAACCTCTGCCTCCCAGGTTCAAGTGATTCTCCTGCCTCAGCCTCCGTAGTAGCTGGGACTACAAGTGCCCGCCACCACACCAGGCTAATCTTTGTATTTTTAGTAGAGAGGGGTTTCGCCATGTTGGTCAGGCTGGTCTTGAACTCCTGTCCTCAGGTGATCCACCCGCCTCGGCCTCCCAAAGTGCTGGGCCTCGGCTCCCACAGGCATGAGCCGCTGCGCCCAACAGCGAGTTCTTTTCAAAACCCTTTGTGGCCAGCCCCATCTCATTGGTAACCCAGGAATCTGAGTTCCCAGCTCCTATCTCCTCTGGGAAATGAGAATCTTATCCCTCCCTCCTCCTGTCTCAGTAGGCAGAAATTTGGACATCCATTGCCCACCTACCGAAGAAGTCTGAACGCAGACCCCTCTGGCCTGGGCAACCAAGAGTTCAGGCCCTTGAACTCCACCTTTCCAGGGAACAATGATCGTAGAGTTTCTCCTCTCACGAGTTCAGGAATCTGGGTCCCCATTTCCCTCTTCTCTCAGGAGCTAAGAGCCCTGTTCCCAGCCCCCTTTTCCCAGGGAATCAGGAGTCCTGGCTTCCATCCCCCTCCCATATAAGAATCTGGGAGTCCTCCCTGTCTCCTGACCTCTTCCTGCCTCAAGAACCAGAGATACCTGTCCCCACCTCCTTCCTCTTTCGGGAATCTGTGTTCTCTTGCTTTAGGACCCAGGGGTCTGGGCCCCAGCCCTGTTCTTTATTTGAACCTAGAATCCCAAACCTGCTGCCTGGTCCCCCTGCAGGGTGTCTGGGTCTCCATTGCCTCTCTCTCTGCCCCCAACCCCAGCCAGGAACCCAGGGAGAAGAAAGGGGTGACTCACAGAGGGTCAGCAGCTGGAGGATCAGCACCAGGGCCATGGTGGGCAGATACCCGCTAGAGCTGGAGCCAGGGCTTGGTCGCACCCTCTCCCCTCCCAGGAAATGAGGCAACATCAGAAAACCAGACCCAGATCCTCATTTACGGAAGAGAGTATCGAGGTGGGGGCCTGTGGGTGACTGTGTCATAGCCCTATGGCACTGTGGAAAAATTAGCAGGGGGTTCAGTCATAACCTGTGGTGTTCATTTATTTAACTCTAGAAACAAATACTAGTCAGGAGGTGGAGGCAGGAGGATCGCTTGAGCCCAAGAGTTCAAGAGCAGCCTGGGCAACAGAGCGAGACCCTGTCTAAAAAATAAATAAATTGTGCCACTGCACTCCAGCCTGGGTGATAGAGTGAGACCATGTCTTTAAATATAGATAGACAGATAGAAAGATATCTGTCTGTTTTAAAAATAAGAACCTATTATGTGCCAGACTCTTGCTGTCATTGATTGACAGATAGATAAAAATTTGCACCTATTATGTGCCAGGCCCTTGCTGTGATTGAAAGATAGATAGATGGATGGATGGATAGATAGATAGATAGATAGATAGATAGATAAAAATTAGCACCTGTTAAGTGCCAGGCCCTTGCTGTGATTGATTGATGGATAGATAAAAATTAACACCAATTATGTGCCAGGCCCTTGCTGTGATTAATTGATCGATTGATAGATTGGTTGACAGAGAAAAATTAGCACCTATTATGTGCCAGGCTCTTGGTGTGATACTGTGTTAGATAGATAGATAGATAGATAGATAGATAGATAGATAGATAAAAATTAGCCCCTCTAGGCCGGGCGCGGTTGTTCACGCCTGTAATCCCAGCACTTTGGGAGGCCAAGGCGGGTGGATCACCTGAGATCGGGAAGTTCGAGACCAGCCTGACCAACATGGAGAAACCCCCGTCTCTCCTAAAAAAGAAAAATTAGCCGGCTGTGGAGGCGCGCGCCTGTAATCCCAGCTATTCAGGAGGCTGAGGCAGGAGAATCGCTTGAACTCGGGAGTCGGAGGTTGCTGTGAGCCGAGATCGCGCCATTGCACTCCAGCCTGGGCGACAGAGCTAGACTCAATCTCAGAAGAAAAAAAAAAAAATTAGAACCTATTACGTGCCAGACCCTCGCTGTGCCATGTTGGCAGGCACAGAGGGAACTCAGACTCCGTTACTGCTCTCAAGCAGCAGCTACCAGTCCGACTGAAAGACCAAGACCAGGTCAGTTTCCTTTTTTTTTGAGACGGAGTCTCGCTCTGTCGCCCAGGCTGGAGTGCAGTGGTGTGATCTCGGCTCACTGCAAGCTCCGCCTCCCGGGTTCACGCCATTCTCCTGCCTTAGCCTCCCCAGTAGCTGGGACTACGGGCGCCCACCACCACGCCCGGCTAATTTGTGTTGTATTTTTAAGTAGAGACAGGGTTTCACCATGTTAGCCAGGATGGTCTAGATCTCCTGACCTCGTGATCCGCCCGCCTCGGCCTCCCAAAGTGCTGGGATTACAGGCGTGAGCCACCGCGCCCGGCCCAGACCAGGTCAGTTTCTTAAGTGATCTGAGCTATAATGGCGGTAACAGAGCACTGTGAGAGCCCGCAGAAAGCTCCTAACCCATCTGGGATGAGACCTAGCGCTTCCAGGACGAGCCGATGTTGAGCTGAGACCTCGAAGGACAGGTTAGTCATTCACCTTCTCCCGGGCTCAGTTTCTTCGTCTGTAAAATGGGCTTTCATACATAAACTATAAAATGGGGACTATTTTGTTCCGCCTTAGGTGGGTCGCAGCAGGAGGACTAGTCACTCCGGAGCGACTTCTAGGCTGAGACTAAGGAGATTCCACGCAGGTCCGCAAAGTCAGGCTTGCGCTTGCTCCTGACACCACTTCCTTTACCTCCACGGCTCCATCTTTGTTCTGCGCGAGTGCGCACGCGCAGGCTCCGAAAGCGGGCCGTCGCACAGAGGGACCACAACTCCCAGAGTGCTCCGCGTCCTTGCTTTCGCCTCTACTTGTGCTCCAGGGCGCACGCGCAGCCCTGGGAGCGGGTTCTCGCGCATAGGGACCACAACTCCCAGGGTGCTCCGCGTCCTCGCCGCTGTCGCCGCCGCGGAGACAAAGATGGCTGCGAGTAAGTGCAGGTTCCGGTGGCGCACGGGGCTCGGGTAGTTCTGGGAACCTCTGGGCGGTCCTGGGACTGAGGTGCGGCAGGGCAGGGGTGGAAGCGATGGGGTCCGTGCTGGAGGGGAACGCAGAAGTCACGAGGGGGCTCCTCCAGGGCAGGGGTGGCACGAGAGGGTTAGAGGTCACCGGGGGCAGCTACTTGCAGGGGTGACGCTTCTTGCCACCCCTTCAGGAGTCGGCGCCTTCCTCAAGAATGCCTGGGACAAGGAG
The DNA here is from genome assembly GCF_000001405.40 of Homo sapiens. Taxonomy (NCBI): domain Eukaryota; kingdom Metazoa; phylum Chordata; class Mammalia; order Primates; family Hominidae; genus Homo; species Homo sapiens. Next base: position 77,573 of record NW_003571055.2, read on the forward strand.
CCAGTGCTGGTCGTGTCCTTCGTCGTCGGGGGCCTCGGTGCGTGAGTGCTCCAGGCGCAAACTTGCATCGTCCACCCCCGTCCCCCTACATCCCTCCATCTTGTACCCCTAAAGCCCTATCGCCGCCCTCGGGTCCCCTCTAGTGTGTCTGCACCCCCACGGCATCCCCTTATCTATCCCCATACCCATTATAACCTCTCCACCATCGCCCCCCGCGTTCCTCTCCACCTACCCAATACGCTCTTAACCCCTCTAAATGAGACGTTCTCAACCCTGCTTATGCCTTAACACCTGAGCACCAAAAAAAAGTCCAGATCCTCCTCCTCCTTTTCATCTTTCCTCTCCCCCATTCTGAATTGAGTTGGCTTGGGTGGAGGTGGGACTGGGGAATCTGTGTCTTGTGAAAATCCCCGTATGATCCCAATGTGCCTTGCTGATTGAAAATCTCTGCCCTCTGCCCTGGAACTGCCCTACTCACACTTTAATTAGCACCGGAGTTCCTGCAGGGATGGGGGCGGGGGATTGTTAAAATGTAGCTTTTTTTTTTGCGATGGAGTCTCACTCTCACCCAGGCTGAAGTGCAGTGGCGCGATCCCGGCTCACTGCAACCTCGGCCTCCTGGGTTCAAGGGATTCTCCTGCCTCAGCCTCCCGAGTAGCTGGGATTACAGGCGCCCAGCTAATTTTTTGTTTTTGTTTTTGAGACTGAGTCTCGCTCTGTCGCCCAGGCTGGAGTGCAGTGGCGCGATCTCGGTTCAGTGCAAGCCCCGCCTTCCGGGTTCACGCCATTCTCCTGCCTCAGCCTCCCGAGTAGCTGGGACTACAGGCGCCCGCCCCCATGCCCGGCTAATTTTTTGTATGTTCAATAGAGACGGGGTTTCACCGTGTTAGCCAGGATGGTCTCGATCTCCTAACCTCGTGATCCTCCCAACTCGGTCTCCCAAAGTGCTGGGATTACAGGCGTGAGCCACCGCGCCCGGCCAGCTTTTTTTTTTTTTTTTTTTTGAGATGGCGTCTCGCTCTGTCTTCCAGGCTACAGTGCAATGGTTTGATCATGGCTCACTGCAACCTCCGCCTCTAGGGTTCAAGTGATTCTCCTGCCTCCGCCTCCCAAGTAGCTGGGATTACAGGCGAGCACCACCACGCCCGGCTAATTTTTGTATTTTTAGTAGAGACAAGGTTTCACCATGTTGGCCAGGCTGGTCTTGAACTCCTGACCGCAAGTGATCTGCCTTCCCAAAGTGCTGGGATTACAGGGGTGAGCCACTGCGCCCGGCCAAACTGTAGGTTCTGATTCTGTAGGTCTGGGGTGGGGCATGGGATTCTGCATTTTTGAAGAGTTCCCAGGTCTTGTCAGTACTGCTGGTCCACCAGCCAGGCACTAGGTTAAGGTTCTGAACACTTATTCAGTATGGCAGCCACCAGCCACAACTGGCCACTGAGCATTTGAAGTGGTGCTGGTATGAATTGAGGTGGTATAAGACACTGGATTTCAAAAACTTAGTATAACAGAGTGTGTAAACTACCAATAATCTTTTGTTGATTACATGGCGAAGTGATGTTTTGGATGTACTATGGTTTTTTTTGTTTGTTTGTTTTTGTTTTTTTGAGACGGAGTTTCGCTTTTGTCCAGGCTAGAGTGCAATGGCCTGATCTCGGCTCACTGCAACCTCCGCCTCCCGGGTTCAAGCGATTCTCCTGTCTCAGCCTCCTTAGTAGCTGGGATTACAGGCGCATGCCACTACACCTGGCTGTTTTTGTATTTTCAGTAGAGACGGGGTTTCATCATATTGGTCAGGCTGGTCTCGAACTCCTGACCTCAGGTGATCCACCCGTCTCAGCCTCCTAAAGTCCTGGGATTATAGGCATGAGCCACCTCGCCCATCCAAGTATGTTTCTTAAAATTTGTTTCATCTGTATCTCTTATTTTTACTGTAGCTACTAGAAGATATAAAATTATATACCTGGCTCTTACCATCTGTCAGACAGCACTGGCCTAGAACATTCCTTTTATGAACTGTACCCCATCCCCCAGGACTCCTGGCTCCCACCCTAAATGGACTGTGGTCAGTGACTGTTGTTTGTGCAACCCTTTCTCCTCCAGTTTGTAAGGCTTTTTTTTTTTTTTTTTTTTGGTGATGGAGTCTCTCTCTGTTGCCCAGGCTGGAGTGCAATGGCACAATCTGGGCTCACTGCAACCTCTGCCTCCCAGGCTCAAGGGATTCTTCTGCCTCAGCCTCCTGAGTAGCTGGGATTACAGGCTCCTGCCACCACGCCCGGCTAATTTTCGTATCTTTAGTAGAGATGGGGTTTCATCATGTTGTCCAGGCTGGTCGCGAACTCCTGACCTCAGGTGATCCGCCCACATTGGCCGCCCAAAGTGCTGGGATTACAGGCTTGAGCCACTGTGCCCGGCCAAATTTGTAACAGTCTTGATTTCTCCAGAACAGTCCCATGACACTACCCCCAGGATGCTCCATGATGACCCTACACTCAAACGTGCTCATTCCATGACCAACCCCACTGCTGCCTCCTCCAGGCCCCACGTATCTGTGAGTGTTAGGCTCCAACCCCTACCTCCACTTAACCCCCCAAAAAAGAGTTTTAAACCCTCCTGTCTATAAGTAGGGATCCCAAGGTACCAAGGATCCTCCTGGACGTGCTGGCCCTCCCTGCTGCCCTCCCCCTGCGCACTTTATCTTCCCTTTGCCAAGGCTCACCTTCTCTTCCCCTCTCTTCAGAGCCACCTTCCCCTGGGCCTCACCCCTGTGTCTCTCCACAGCTGTAATTCTGCCCCCATTGAGCCCCTACTTCAAGTACTCCGTCATGATCAACAAGGCCACGCCCTACAACTACCCAGGTGAGTGGGGGCCAGGCAGGGATCCCCGGAATAGGCCCAGCCTCCCTGTGCTGGCGTAAGGGCAGTTATGGGCAGGTCTTTCCTAAGCAGTTATCAGAGATTCTGCAGTGGTGCCCGGACCCCCCGTTCCATTTTTTAAGAATTGAGATATAATTCGTATACTATTCTGTGTTTGTGCTTCGTTTTTGTTTTTTTGGGTTTTTTTGAGACAGAGTCTCGCTCTGTCGCCAAGGCTGGAGTGCAGTGGCGCGATCTCAGCTCACTGCAAGCTCAGCCTCCCGAGTAGCTGGGACTACAGGTGCCCGCCACCACGACACGCAAACTTTTTCGTATTTTTTTAGTAGAGGCGGGGTTTCACCGTGTTAGCCAGGATTGTCTCGATCTCCTGACCTTGTGATCCACTCACCTCGGCCTCCCAAAGTGCTGGGATTACAGGTGTGAGCCACCGCGCCTGGCCTGTGCTTCGAGTTTCTATTACCTTTCCAGATTTCTGTCTCTCTCTGGGTTCCCATCTGTGGTGGTTTCTTGGTCTCCATCTTCTCAGGTTTCTGTCCTGTTTCCCCATCTCTTTTGACCCTAGCTCTCTAGTGCGCGGGATCTCTCCCTCGCTATCTCTCTGGTTTTCCGTGTCTCTCAGTCTCTGTATTTCCCGCCTCTTTCTGCATCACTGATTCTCTGACCCTTCCCCTCTCACCCCTGGGGTCCCCCTTCCCTCTCTGAACATAAAGCGACAGACCAGCTCTTCTCTCCAGGGCCCTGGAGACGTGCTGGTCTCAGTGGCCCACCTCCTGCCCCACAGTGCCCGTCCGTGATGATGGGAACATGCCCGACGTGCCCAGCCACCCCCAGGACCCTCAGGGCCCCAGCCTGGAGTGGCTGAAGAAACTGTGAGCACCTCCACTGACAGAGGCGGCCCCTCCCACGGCTCCCAATAAAAATGTGAAAACCAACCCCCGAACGTGAGCATGTGTGTGATCAGAGGTGGGAACAAGTAGACGGTGGCCGGGGTGAGTGTGGGGTCAGTTTATTGGGCATGCGTCAGTCAGAGGCTGGGCTGGCCAGGGTCGGGTAGGGCAGCAGTTTGTCTGGACCCCGAGAAACCCAACTGGAATCCAGGGCCTCATCTGCTTCAAAGCCAAAGTCTTCCTCAACCTTAATCTGCAGGAGATAAGGAACAAGGTGTTAACAGGCCTGGGAATCTAGAAAATCCCATCAGCTTCACCATTTTTGTTTTCATTTTGTTTTGCTTTTTAAAGAGACAGGGTCTCACTCTGTTGCCCAGGCTGGAGTGCAGTGGTGCCATCATAGTTCACTGCAGCCTCTGCCTCCCAGGCTCAAGTGATCCTCCCACCTCAGCTTCCCAAGTAGCTGGGACTACAGGCACTTGCCAACCAAGCCTAACATGTTTTTTCTTTTTGGTAGAGATGGGGTCTCAGTATGTTGCTCAGGCAGGTCTCAGACTCCTGGCCTCAAGTGATCCTCCCACCTAGGCCTCCCAAAGTGCCGGGATTACAGGCATGAGCCACTGCACCTGGCCAGCCTCACAGTTCTTGTCTGCCCAGGCCAGTCACCTTCCTCCTTACACCTCAGAGGCAATCCCAGTGTTCCTGGGTCCAGATGTTCTTCCAGCTTTCCTCCCCACACTGGGCCTTCCCTTCCACTCCGTCTTCTCTGATCCTTCCTTCTCCTCTACTCCCAGCCTTCTCTAGCTATTTTTCCTTCTCCAGGTCTTCCTCTTTCCCTTTCCAACTTTGCCTCCTTTTTACCCAAGCCTTTACCCCACTTTTTCCAACTACTTCCCTGCCTGATCCTAGGCCTCCAACATGTCCTGGTTCACCTCCCTTCTCCAACTTTCCCCAGCCCTGGGCCCCTCGGGGTGCAGAACCAAAACCCAAGAGCCCTGAACCTAACTCAGCCCCAGCCCTGGCCCCTCCCCTTGAGTCCCCCCTCCTTACCTGCACTGGCGCCGGCTCTGGAGCCCCAGTCCCTCCCCTTGAGTTCCCGCCTTCCTCACCTGCACCGGGGCCAGCTCTGGAGTCAGCGCATTTCCTGCTCGGCGTCCATCCCGTGGCACTCGCCGCCTCTTCCGCCCACTGGGCCCCTCACCGGGGGCTGGGCTGCCGGGTTCTGGGGGTGCAGGAGTCCTTCTGGGCGGGGACAGTGTCTCTTTCTCTGGAGGCTCATTCTCCGCATTGCCTGGGGTGGGGGCATCCGTGCCCTGGCTGCCCTCATCCTGGCAGGCAGGAGGGGGAGGTAGGTGATGGGTGGGTCCTGAGCTCCCAGTTCCTGACCCTCCTGGAGGCCCAACACTCACCTCCAGCACAATGGTGAACTGGCTGGCCCGGTAGTCATCCCCGTAGGAGTCCAGCACTCTCATGAGGAACCTGCTCAGGGGGAGAAGCCACCAACGGAATAACTTATCTCCTAGCGGCTGGGGAAAAGGGCCACAGGATAGAGCTCAGCTCCCACTCCACTCAACGCCAAAGCTGTCCTGGAGCCAGACGGTCCTGAGCTCTGGCACTGGAGGCCTGGGAGCCATGCCCTTGACCAGCCTTGAGACCTCGAGCAAGACAAGGCAACCATTCTGAGGCTGAGTTTCCTGCTCTGCAAACGACATGACACCCTCGGCTGGATGTTGCAGCGGTGACACTGAAGTAGTGACACCAGACGATTTCTGTACTTAATGTGATGTCAGCACTTAGTAAACATTCATATGTGAGTTATAATTTTTATTGATAACTGAAGAGAGGGGAGTACAGAACGCTCCTCCTAATGACCTCACCTCTTATAAACACCCCCTTCTCTTTTTTCCCCAGCCCCTGCCTCCAGAGTTCCTTAAGGTTCAATTGATGGAATGCCTCCTCTGCACCAGCACCTGGGCAGGTTTGTTGTTGTTGTTTTGCGACGGAATCTCACTCTGTCACCCAGGCTGGAGTGCAGTGGCGTGAATTTGGCTCACCACAACCTCCACCTCCCTGGTACCAGCGATTCTCCTGCCTCAGCCTCCCGAGTAGCTGGGACTACAGGCGCCTGCCACTACACCCGGCTAATTTTTTTGTATTTTTAGTAGAGACGGAGTTTCACCGTGTTAGCCAGGATGGTCCCGATCTCCTGACCTCGTGATCCGCCTGCCTCGGCCTCCCAAAGTGCTGGGATTACAGGCATGATGAGCCACTGCGCCCGGCCTATTTCAACTTAAGTGAAAATCTCACCTGTGGCCAGCGGCTACCGTGCTGGACAGCACAGGTACGGACAGAGGAACCCTGGGAGCCGCAGGTTTCAGCTTTGGGGAGGGAGGATGAACTAGCAAAGGCAGCCAAGAAGGAACAGCCGGAAAGGCAGGAGACCCCAGGTTGCTGGGTGCCCAGGATGGCAAGAATGGGCTCCAGGGAAGAGCACATAGCCCTGGGCCACTGTGCCGAGCCTGAGCCAAGGACTGAGATGAGAACTGTGGTTGACTCAGCAACGTGGAGCCATTCCTACAAAACTTGCTCCAGTTTTGCTGGTACAGGGACACTGCGAGTGGCAGGGGCAGCAGCCACCTGGGCAGGTTCTGTGGAGACACACAGTGGGAAGCTCTGAGCTCAGCTCACCACCTGCAAGCTCCGACAACCCTGCCGCAGCCTCATGATATTGGTGCTGCCCTTAGTTGATAGGAAACAGCTCAGAGAAGGGACACTGCTTGCTTAGAGTCACACAGCAAAAAAAAAAGAAAATACTTGCAGTCAGGTCTGTGCTCGTGTGCCTTCCATCCTGCTGTTCCCTCCCTTCAGGGGGAGGAGGCCCTCCACCCGGCCCTCCCTCAGTCCCAGTGCTCAGCCCTCTCCACCCGGCCCTCCCTCAGTCCCAGCGCACAGCCCCTTCCACCCGGCCCTCCCTCAGTCCCAGTGCTCAGCCCTCTCCACCCGGCCCTCCCTCAGTCCCAGTGCTCAGCCCTCTCCTCCAACACCGAATCCCACTCTTCCTCCTTGTTTGCCTCAGCCCCCGGCCCTCATCTCCGGCTTCTCCTTGTGGCTTGTGAGGGTTGGGTGGATGTGGAAGTGGGAGAGACAGAGGGGCTGGGAGCATTTGGGAGCTGAGGCTCACAGGCCCAGAGGGGACGGAGAAGGGGTTACCTCCGTTCCTGCTGCAGCCTCCGAGTTATCCTCTGCACCTGATGGAGCCTGTTCAGGACCCGCTCGTTCACCTATGGGGTGGGAAACGCCCATCAGCTGGATCCCACGGCTCCCGTTCATTTGTTTAACGGATGTTTAATGGGGCACGCACTAAACTCTGGAGACTGGCCAAAGACCATCCCGTGGCCTGAGGTCCTTCCACCTTCCCATCCCTCCGGCTCCCCTCTCACCATGCCACAGTCCTGAGTGCCCTCCAGTGGGGGCCTTCCGCGTGCTGTTCCTCTACCTGGACCCTCTCCCCAGTCATCCGCACAACTTACTCCCCACTCCAAGTCTTAGGTCAACTGTTACCTGCTCAGAGAGCCTGAACCTCCCATTAAGTCGAAACACACCAGGCCAGGTGCGGTGGCTCACGCCTGTAATCCCAGCACTTTGGGAGGCCGAGGCGAGTAGGTCCCCTGAGGTCAGGAGTTCGAGACCAGCCTGGCCAACATGATGAAACCCCATCTCTACTAAAAATACAAAAAATTAGCTGGGCGTGGTGGCAGGTGCCTGCAGGATAGTCGCACGAACCTGGGAGGTGGAGGGGTGAAGTGAGTTGAGATCACCCCACTGCACTCCAGCCTGGGCAACAGAGCGAGGTTCTGTTTCAAAAAAAAAAATTGCAACACACCCGACCCCCCTTCCCATGCCAGAACCCCACCCGGCCATTCACTCCTGGCTTTATTTCCTCCTAGTGCTCATCTGAGGAGGCAGGACGCAGCCTCTCCGCCTCTTTGCTTATTCTGCTGACTGACCGCCTCTCCAGCCAGAGCATGAGCTGAAAAACGACAGCAACTTGTTTCTACATCCCGTGCCTTAACCAGAGCCTGGCACGTAGTACATCCTCCATGAACATTTGCAGAATCAATGACTTTGCAAAGTGAGAAGTGCTTGGTGAATACCAAAGAGTCAGACATGCTGGAGGTTAGGGCAGGAGGTGCGACTTTAGTTACGACCTGCAGAGAAGGCCCGTGGGCCCAGACTTGAATAAGGAGGAGACAAAGGGGTGACAGGAGGAAAGTATGCCAGGCTGAGGGGACAGCCCTGCACGCAGCTTCTGAGGACTCCAGCCTAGACATGGAGGGAGAGATGTGACTCAGCCAAACAGGGACCCAAAGACAGTGGCTGAAGCAGGTGCTGCTCCTGGGTCAGAAAGACCTGAGTTCCGGGCGGGGCACAGTGGCTCACGCCTGTAATCCCAGCACTTTGGGAGGCCGGGGCGGGCAGATCACTTGAGGTCAGGAGTTCAAGACCAGCCTGGCCAACATGGTGAAACCCCGTCTCTACTAAAGATACAAAAATTGGCCGGATGTTGTGGCACATGCCTGTAATCTCAGCTACTCAAGAGTTTGAGGTCGGGAGTTCCAGACCAGCCCGGCCAACATGATGAGACCTCATCTCTACTAAAAAAAAAAAAAAAAAAAGAAAAATACAAAAATTAGCTGGGTATGGTGGCGCATGCCTGTAATCCCAGTTTCTCAGGAGGCTGAGGCAGGAGAATCGCTTGAACCCAGGAGCTGGAGGTTGCAGTGAGCCGAGATCACACCACTGCCCTCCAGCCTGGGTGACAGAGTAAGACTCTGTCTCAAAAGAAAAAAAAAAAAAAAAGTGCCAGGCACGGTGGCTCACGCTTGTAATCCCAGCACTTTCAGAGGCCAAGGCGAGCGGATCACCTGAGGTCAGGAGTTTGAGACCAGCCTAACGTGGTGAAACCCTGTCTCTACTAAAAATACAAAATTAGCCAGGTGTAGTGGCGCATGCCTGTAATCCCAGCTACTCGGGAGGCTGAGGCAGGAGAATCGCTTGAACCCAGGAGGCGGAGGTTGCAGTGAGCTGAGATTGCAGCATTGCACTCCAGCCTGGACAACAAGAGCGAAAATCCATCTAAAAAAAAAGAGTTCAAGTTTTGGCTCTGGCTTGGCACAGTGGCTCATGCCTATAATCCCAGCACTTTGAGAGGCCAGGAGTTCGACACCAGCCTGGGCAACAGAGTGAGACCCCAACACTCAAAAACTAACCAAAAAAATTAGCTGGGCTTGGTGGCTGTAGTCCCAGCTCCTTCGGAGGCTGAGATTGCTAGAGTCCAGGATGTTGGGGCTGCAGTGAGCCACAGTCATGCCACTGCACTCCAGCCTGGGCAACAGAGAAAGACCCTGTCTCAAAAAAAAAAAAAAATCTCAGATCTGCCACTGCTGAGCTCTGAGCTTGGGTGCATTACTTAACCTCTCTGAGCCTTGATTTTCTATACTTGTAAAATAGTAGTAATCTATTCCTGGGGGTGGATTAATGGCAGAGGCTCCAGTTGAGTCCGTTTGGGCCTTGGTGTCTGTCTGTTAAACAGGGTTTGGAATATGCCCCTGGCCTCTAGCCTTCCTCCTTACAGAACTCCCCAATACTGTCATTAAGAATTGAGGCCAGATGTGGTGGCTCATGCCTGTAATCCTAGCATTTTGGGAGGTCAAGGCGAGTGGATCACTTGAGGTCAGGAGTTCAAGACCAGCCTGGGCAACATGGCAAAACCCCATCTCTACAAAAAGTACAAAAATTAGCCAGGTGTGGTGGTGTGTGCCTGTAGTCCCAGCTATTTTGGGGGCTGAGGCAGGAGGACTGCTTGAACCTGGGAGACTGAGGCTGCAATGAGCTGAGATTGCGCCACTGCACTCCAGCTTTGGTGACAAAGTGAGAACCTGTCTCAAGAAAGAGAAAAAGAGTTGAAGGCCAGGCGTGGTGGCTCAAGCCTGTAATCCCAGCACCTTGGGAGGCTGAGGTGGGCAGATCACCTGAGGTCAGGAGTTTGAGACCAGCCTGACCAACATGGTGAAACCCTGTCTCTACTAAAAATAGAAAAATTAGCTGGGTGTGGTGGCGGGCGCCTGTAATCCCAGCTACTAGGGAGGCTGAGTCAGGAGAATCACTTGAACCCAGGAGGTGGAGGTTACAGTGAGCTGAGATGGTGCCATTGCACTCCAGCCTGGGAGACAAGAGCGAGACTCCACCTCAAAAAAAAAAAAAAAAAAAAAAAAAAAGTTGAATTATTTCCCCCAAAAGAGGGTGTTGAGGCTTTAACCCCCAGTACCTCAGGATCACCTTATATGGAGACAGTGTCGTTACAAAAGTAATCAAGTTCAAATGAAGCCAGTGGGTGGGCCCTAATCCAGTATGACTGGAGTCCTTATAAAAAGGGTAAATTGGGACACAGACACACACACAGGGAGCAGCAATGTGAAGATGAAGGCGGAGATCAGGGTGATGTTTGTACGTGCCAATGACTGCCAGAAACCTCCAGAAGCCAGGGGAGAGGCCTGGAAGATTCTCACAACCCTGTCGACACCTTGCCTTGGATGTCTAGCCTCCAGAACTGTCAGACAGGAATTTCTGTGCTTGAGGGACCCTATTTGTGATAAGTTCTGGGAGTCCAAGCAGACTAATACAACTGTCTTCAGAGTTTCAGGCATCCAGACCTGATGCTGTTCCTCCCCCATTTGAAACCCTTCAGTGGCTCCTTCACTCTCAAGGAAAAAAAAATATCCAGACTTCTTGTCCTGGTGTTCCTGGCCTGCCAAGATCTGAGCCCTGCCTGCTGTTTAATCCTCATTGATTGATTGATTGATTTTGAGACGGAGTCTCACTCTGTCACCCAGGCTGGAGTACAGCAGCATGATCTTGGCTCACTGCAACCTCCGCCTTCCGGGTTCAAGCAATTCTCATGCCTCAGCCTCCCTAGTAGCTGCGACTACAGGTGCGCACCACCACACCTGGCTAATTTTTTTGTATTTTAGTAGAGATGGGGTTTCACCATGTTGGCCAGGCTGGTCTCGAACTCCTAACCTCAGGTGATCCGCCTGCCTCAGCCTCCCAGTGCTAGGATTACAAGCGTGAGCCACCATGCCCAGCCCATCCTTATTCTCAGCAAGGAGGCTATTGCAGTCATTCAGCCCAGACAGCTGGAGTTTGCAATGGCAGCCATAGGGATGGAGGAGAGGAGAAGGGTCCAGAGACACTCAAGAGGCGGAATGAATGAGTCGAGAGGAGTGAATCCTGGCAGGGGTATGGGAGATGTGAAGAGCTTGGGCTTTCACCTGTGAGCGGTGCCACGCATTGAGAGGCCCCCGGGAGACATCAGAGAACCCATCTGCGTTGTCAGGGAAGCTCCACGGGAGATGGCCCTTCCAGGGGCCCGGCACAGGGCCAGACACATAATGCATGCTAAATGACTGAATATATAAGCTAAATGACTGAATATATCAGCAAGCCAAGAAAGGCTGGGCATGTGGAAAGGCAGAGATTGCGGGGGGCGGTAGTTTAGGCCAGGGGACCCCAAAACCGGGGGATCCGCACTCACCTACCTGCTCGATCTCCCGGCAGCGCCGACCTAGTGCCTGGTACTTTCTGCGATTTAATTCCCGCTGGCGCCGCCGCCGACCCCGGGCTGCCTCTTCCTCTTCATCTCGCTCCCGGAGCCCTGAGCCGCCCAGACCACCTGACACAAACTCCACTTCCGTCTCCAGCTCGCTCTCCAGGATGTGGCCACCAAATAGGGGAGGCAACGCCAACTCTGAGCCTGGCGGCGCTGAGAACTCCTCAAAGCCCACGGCTGCCATGGTCCTGAGAGGCAGGGAAAGGCTCAGGGGCCCTGGATCCTGGACCCCCAGCCCCTTCTCCCACTGAACCAGGAGCCCAGACCCCAACCCCTCCTCCCTGAGATCCTAGAATCCAGGCCCCCAGCCCCTCCTCCCTCAGACCGTAGAATCCAGCTCCCAGCCCTCCTCCCTCAGACCCAGAAGTCCAAGTCCGCAACCCACCCTTCGCAGCACCCACAGGGTTCAAGCCCTGACCCCCTCCTCCCAGGATGCAAGAGTCCAGACCTCCAGACTTTTTCTCTCCAAGGACCCAGGGAGTCCAAGCCCCAACCCTCAACCAGACGCAAGAGTCCTGGCTTCCAACCTCCTAGTCTGTCAGATCCAGCAGTCCAAACCCCTAACCTTCTCCTCCCTCAGGATGACCCCAGTCCATAAAAGGGTTCTAAGGTAAAGCAGTTGCATGAACTACAACCCCCATCAGACCTCAGCGTAAAAGCTCATATGGTTGCACACAATGCAGCTGCACTGTTTTCTGGGATTCGCACTTTTTCACAAGGGCTCAGCCACATACCCTTCTCTCTGCTCCAATTCCATCTCCGCGACCTCCGGAAGCCCCGGGCCTCAGAGCTTCCGACCTCTTCAATCTGTAGGTTAAGCCGTTCGCAAAACTACTTGTCCCATCAGGCTCAGCAGCCGAGGACGGCGGGACGTGGCCCTAGGCCTTGTGGGAGTTGTAGTTTCCTGTTTCCGGCTTCGCTTCGGCCCACCCCCACGTCCACCCCGAATCCCTGCTTAAAGGCCTTGCTTTCTTGTCTAACGCCGCAACCAGTCCTCTGAGTTGCCAACGTCTTTCTTCTTGTCTCGACGCCCCGTCGTCCGGCCACAGCGATTCTCTGCTTAGCAGGATCGGTCCACAGCGGGACGTGAGTCCCTTTCCTCCTCGCGGCTTACCGCCTCTCTCCGCCTAGTGCCAGGTGCTAATAAAGTTGTTGTTTCAAATGCGGCCAGGAACATCGCGAGCGGGGACCAATCAGAGAGTAGCTTTGCCTCTATAACGGCGCGAGAGTGAGACGTCATCGGTGAGCGACTAACGCTAGAAACAGTGGTGCGCGGAGAGGAGAGGTGAGTGTGATGGAGACCACGGGGAGCGGGAGGCTGGGCTCCTGGGTCTGGGAGAAGAAGTGTGTGAGGAAAAAGGCGGGTCTTTACAGCTTGGTTTTTGTTTTTTTGTTGTTTGTTTGTTTTGAGACGGAGTCTCGTTCTGTTGCCCAGGTTGGAGAGCAGTGGCGCGATCTCGGCTCATTGCAACCTCCGTCTCCCGGGTTCAAACGATTCTTCTGCCTCAGCCTCCAGAGTAGCTGGGATTACAGGCGCCCGCCACCACCCCTGACTAATTTTTGTATTTTTAGTAGAGACGGGGTTTCCCCATGTTGGTCAGGCTGGTCTCGAACTCCTGATCTCGTGATCCGCCCGCCTCGGCCTCCCAAAGTGCTGTGATTACAGGCATGATCCACCGCGCCTGGCCAGTTGTTTGTTTGTTTTGTCTGAGACGGAGTTTCGCTCTTGTTGCCCAGGCTGGAGTGCAGTGGCGCGATCTCGGTTCACTGCAACCTCCGCCTCCCGGATTCAAGCGATTCTCCTGCCTCAGCCTCCCGAGTAGCTGGGATTACAGGCGCGCACCACCACGCCCGGCTAGTTTTTTGTATTTTTAGTAGAGACGGGGTTTCACTATGTTGGCCAGGCTGGTCTCCAACTCCTGACCTCAGATGATCCACCCGCCTGGGCCTCCCAAAGTGCTGGGATTACAGGCATGAGCCACCGCTCCCGGCCTTTTACAGCCTGTTTACCCAAAAGTCTTAATATGCGCCTACCATGGTGTGGCCCTGGGGATGTGGAAGGAGCAAAAATTGTTCGCTACCCTCTTAGAGCTTTGGTTGATGCCTGGCAGACAGGCTTTATCAAATAATTACTTCATTAATCACAAATGTGTGAAGTGCCTTACTGTAGACACGCAGAGCGTGCGGGACACGTTATCACAAAGCAACCTCCTGTAGTCTAGAGTGGGGCGTGTGGGTCAGGGAGGTGGAACGTGAGAGCTGAAGGCTGAGGAGATGCTGGGCTACTAAGAAGTGAGGAGAGCCAGACGCCATGGCTCACTCCTGTAATCCCAGCACTTTGGGTGGCCCAGGCGAAAGGATCGCTTGAGCCCAGGAGTTTGAGACCAGCCTGAGCAACACAGTGAGACCCTGTCTCTACAGAAAAATTTAAAAATTAGCCGGGCGTGCTGGTGCGTGCCTGTCATCTCAGCTATCGGGAGGCTGAGGCGGGAGAATCGCTTGAGCCCAGGTGATCGAGGCTGCCGTGAGCTATGATGGCGCCACTGCACTGCAGCCTAGGTGACAGAGCAAGACATGGTCTCAAAAAAAAGAAAAGAAAAGAAAAAACAAAGTGAAGGAAAGGGCCACTTTAGTTACAAGGGACTCCTGTACAAAGACCTGGAGGCGGGAAGAGACCGATAATGTAACCAACTCAAGTTTCTGCTACTCAGAGGCAGAGGAAGTGGGGGGTGGTGAAAGTAAAGCAGCTTTACTGATCAAATGCTCGCAGATGAGAAATGGCCAAGCTAATGTCTTTAGAAGACCATTTCAAGCTTTAGGCTGGGGAGAGGGGCTTAAAAAGGGGAACTTTGAATGGGAGGCATACAGGAGTGGTGCTGGGTACAAGGTATGTGTGTCTTGCTCCGAAGGCTGTCTTGAGTCACGGGCCACCTGGAGCATGGGCTGGTGTCAAGTCAACAATGGCCACGTTGTAGATTGATCGCCTTGAGGTGATCTCTGGAGTTTTGCAGCTGGGTTTCCATACCTAGTTTGTTTCAAGATTAGCCCCTGCGGCGAGGCGCGGTGGCTTACGCCTGTAATCCCAACAGTTTGGGAGGCCAAGGTGGGTCGCTCACTTGAGGTCAAGAGTTCAAGACCAGCCTGGCTTACATAGTGAAACCTTGACTCTACAAAAAAAAAAAAAAAAAATTAGCTGGGCATGGTGGCAGGTGCCTGTAGTCCCAGCTACTCAGGAGGCTGAGGCAGGAGAATCGCTTGAACCCAGGAGGTGGAGGTTGCAAGTGAGCCAAGACTGCGCCACTGCACTCCAACCTGGGTGTCAGAGCCAGACTCCATCTTTAAAAAATAAATAAATAAAGATTAGCCCCTGGAACTTCTAAGTAAGCACATAGATAAGCCAGCAGTGCAAGACAGTATCTAGTGGGAAAGGAGGGAAACAAAGAATTTCAAAGTATGTTTTCAAGGCTAAAGGCAAGAAAGGAATAAGAAAGTTTGCAAATGCATTTGGAATCTACACCACTTGGTTCCAGTAAGTCTTAGCAAGGTGGCGGTCATAGGGGTGTGCTGCGTCTTGCACAGGTCGGAGCTGGAGACTCGCCAGTGAACAAAACAAACTAAAGCACCTGTTGTCGTGGAGCCTGCATGCTAGTGGGGTTGATAAAGAAGGACCAGGGTCTTCTGGGGGAGAATCATCGCTCAGTAATAAGGAGGGACTTTGTCGGGGCAAGTTTTTAGGGAACGCTGCTGTCCCTCCCCAGGCCTCGGGATGTCTCTGGCAGATGAGCTCTTAGCTGATCTCGAAGAGGCAGCAGAAGAGGAGGAAGGAGGAAGCTATGGGGAGGAAGAAGAGGAGCCAGCGATCGAGGATGTGCAGGAGGAGACACAGCTGGATCTTTCCGGGGATTCAGTCAAGACCATCGCCAAGCTATGGGATAGTAAGATGGTAAGAGGACAAGAGGTGTTCCTAGCAGGGGGCTCTAGACAGAATCTCCCAGAAGGGGGTGATACAGGCTTCTTTTTGAAGAGTGCTGGATTCTGACTGTCTTCTCCTTTCCTACAGTTTGCTGAGATTATGATGAAGATTGAGGAGTATATCAGCAAGCAAGCCAAAGCTTCAGAAGGTGCTTCCTCCCACTCTGTGCCCCTCCCCATCTCCTGTCTCTCCTGCCAGGCCCCCTGGCTCCCTGGCTGCTTGTGGCTGGGTATATCTCCTTCTCAGCCTTTTCCAGAGCCTTCTTTTTTTTTTGTTTCACCCCAACCCGTTCCCTTTTCCACTAAATATATATTGCATTGTAAAGCTCATGCTTCTTAAGTCCTTCCTGTGTGCTGAGCTTACTGATCATGATAGGACTCAGCTTGAGGTTTCCCAGACTTCACTGATTCACATGACCGGTTACAGGGTTTTTGCCACATCTATAAGCCGCTTATCCTATTATTTGCTTAACATATTCTTTGAGTCTAGGACTTTTTTTCTTAAATTTATCTGAGAAGGAAGCAAATTGCTACCATGAATGGAAAACTGGTATCATTTGGCAAAGACAAAGTCACTGTATAAAAATAGATATATAATTATTTAGGAACCACCTAAGGCCGGGCGCCGTGGCTCACGCCTGTAATCCCAGCACTTTGGGAGGCGGAGGCAGGTGGATCATGAGTTCAGGAGATCGAGACCATCCTGGCTAACACGGTGACACCCCGTCTCTACTAAAAATACAAAAAATTAGCCAGGCGTGGTGGCGGGTGCCTGTAGTCCCAGCTACTCAGGAGGCTGAGGCGGGAGAATGGCGTGAACCTGGGAGGCGGAGCTTGCAGTGAGCCGAGATCGTGCCACTGCACTCCAGCCTGGGCGACAGAGCAAGACTCCGTCTCAAAAAAAAAAAAAATAACCTAAAACCTTTTCTCATGCCCAAATTGAGAGAACACTAGCTTATCTCATGAGTGCTCAGACTCACTCTTAAGAGGGCAGTCCTGTTACCATTCCTATTCTTTTTTTTTTTTCCTTGAGATAGAGTCTCCCTCTGTCGCCCAGGCTGGAGTGCAGTGATGTGTTCTTGGCTCATTGCAACCTCCACCTCCCGGGTTCAAGCGATTCTCCTCCCTCAGCCTTATGTATAGCTGGGATTACAGGTATGCAACACCATGCCTGGCTATTTTGTATTTTTTAGTAGAGATGGGGTTTCACCATGTTGACCAGGCTAGTCTCGAACTCCTGACCTCAAGTAATCCGCCCACCTCGGCCTCCCAAAGTGCTGGGATTACAGGCATGAGCCACTACGCCCAGCCTTCCCATTCTTCTTGAATGGAATTTGTTGATGACAGGAAGCCATAGGAGGTTTCTGGGGAAAGAAGTGTAGTGAGAGGGCAGAGTTTCGGGAGACTCACTGCTTGCTTTCTTTAACGTTTACCTGGGCACCCAGTTGAATCGCCCAGGTCTTTGCTCTCAAAGTACTCAAGGTCTAGTGGAAGAGGCAGGCCAGGTTCCAGACAGCTATCAGTGGTGGTACCAAGCTGGGGACACCGGAGCCACAGGAGGGACTGGCTGACCCTGCCCCAGGTGTCAGGAAGAATCGATAGCTGAATTGGACTGTAGAGCATGAATGCATGTGCCAGGCAAAGAAAGGGAGAAGGGGGCCCAGGGAAAGACAGCGGCAGGCCCGGGGCCTCAGATATCCGGAGAGAGAATCCTGCAGAGTTCCAGATGCCAGGCCAAGGAATTTCTCCCTCCAGAGGGTTATGGGACACAGAAAGTGACATTTCCTGATGTCAGGCCAGGCTCAGGGATGGAGTCAGACCCCGTCACACCCGGTGTCTGGTTGAGGAGGCAGAGGTGAAACATCTCACAAGCTGTGGCAGTCCCTGTTTACTGGAGGTGCACAAGTGCTGCGGGTACACAGAGGAGGCGTCTGATCCTTCCAGAAAGGGAGGGAAGGATTCTGAGTCGCTGCCTGAGTCTTAAGGACTTAAAGAGCCATTTGAGCATCAGGGTTAGGAGTGCAGACTCTGACGCCGCCCTGCCTGGTGTCAGATCTGAGCTCTGCCTTCTACTGGCTGTGACATCAGGCAGTTAGTATTTGCATGACTTTTAAACACAACATCTTTTTGTTTGTTTGTTTTTTGAGACAGGGTCTCACTCTGTCACCCAGGCCAGAATGCAGTGGCACGATCCCAGCTCACTGCAGCCTTGACCTTGTGGGCTCAGGCGTTCCTGCCTCAGCCTCCCAGGCAGCTGGGACCACAGGTGTACACCACCATGCCTGGCTAATTTTTTTTCTTTAATTATGTGTAGAGATGGGGTCTCCCTATGTCGCCCAGGTTGCTCTCCAACTCCTGGGCTCAAGCAGTTCTCCTGCCTCAGCCTCCCAAAGTGCTGGGATTACAGGTATGAGCCACTGTGCCTGACCTCTTATTACTAAAGCACAAAGAAGCGTTTTCCAGAAACAGACGTGGGGTAAGGGATGCTCTGGGGAGAGGGAGCAGCACATGCAGAGGCCAGGAGGGGTCTGGCGCGGTGGCTCACGCCTGTCATCCCAGCACTTTGGGTGGTCAAGGCAGATGGATCACCTGAGGTCGGGAGTTCGAGACCAGCCTGCCCAACATGGTGAAACCCCGTCTCTACTAAAAATACAAACAAACAAAAAAAATTAGCCGGGCGTGGTGGCACATGCCTGTAATCCCAGCTACTCAGGAGGCTGAGGCAGGAGAATCGCTTGAACCCAGGAGGCGGAGGTTGCAGTGAGCTGAGATCATGCCACTATACTCTAGCCTGGGCAACCAGAGCGAAATTATGTCTCAAAAAAAAAAAAAAAGGCTAGGAGGAGTGGGTGTCTGGGGCACTGTGATCACTCCTTTATGGCTGGAGTGGAATAAAATGAGGTGTGGTGAGAGGATGGGGCGGGAAGGGCGGGAGGCCAGACTGCAGAGCTGCTGAGTCAGCAAACAGGAACGGGGGAACTCCCTGTGTGCCAGGTGCTGTCCTGGGTACTCGGCTGTGGGTACAGCCAACGCAGGCACAGCACTGGTCCCTGCAGAGCTTCCGGAGTTGGGGAGGCCCTGAATGTCAGTCTGAGGACTCGGTCATTAGCCTTGGGGCTGTGGGGAGCCGTAGGAGGTTTCACACGGTCAGTTCTGGGGTAGATGGGGTCAAGTCTAGACTGGTGTGGAGGGAGAGGGATTGAAGGCAGGAACACAAGTTCAGGGATGTCTGCAGACATCAGCCTGTCCCTGGTTTACTCTTCAGCCCCTCCTTCCTGACCCCTCCCAACTTCATCCTCCGCCTCCTCCAGCTGCGGGACCCGAGAGGGGGTAGGGATTTAGATACTCACACCCATGCCTCCGTGTCCTCACAGTGATGGGACCAGTGGAGGCCGCGCCTGAATACCGCGTCATCGTGGATGCCAACAACCTGACCGTGGAGATCGAAAACGAGCTGAGTGAGTGCTGGGGGGCAGGCGGAGACAGCCCCGTGTGACGTCCCTCACGCCCCCTCTCCCTTCCCCACTGGCCTTTCCCAGGGTCCTGCCCCTAAGCCCAAGCTCAGATCGAGGTTGACCTGCTGTCACAGAGTGGCTGAAATAAGAAGGAAGTGCGTTCTCTCGCGTATGAGTCTGAGGAGCACTCGGGGATGGTGTGGCCGCTTGGCTGCCTGTAGGGCCCCGGCTCTTTCCATCCTGTTGGTCGGCCACCTGCCTCACGGTGCGAGGTGACTGCCCCACCTCCAGCCATCACCTCCGCATTCCCACCAGCAAGGCGCTTCTTTTCTTTAAGAACATGTCACTGCAGCTCACGTTTTACAGACCAGAACTAATTCCCCTGGTCACACCTAGCGGTAAGGACGGCTGAGAAAGGCTGTATGCTGGTGCCCGTGTGCCAGGCCACAAGCCAGGGCTTCAGTTACTAAAGGAAGAAGGGGACATGGGTGTTAGGGCCAACCAGCAGAGTCTACCTTCCATCTCACCCGACAACCTCCTGTCCCGTTTACCCTAGACATCATCCATAAGTTCATCCGGGATAAGTACTCAAAGAGATTCCCTGAACTGGAGTCCTTGGTCCCCAATGCACTGGATTACATCCGCACGGTCAAGGTGAGCGCAGAGAAGGTGGGGTGCTTCTGCTGGCGTGAAGGGGCAGGCGGGGCTCACTCTCGGACCCCCTCCCAGAGGCCTCAGGGTCTGGAGACGATGGAGAGGAGTGGACGAGGGCTCAGTGGTCTGCTCTGCCCAGCGTGGGAGGGACGGAGCCTGGACAGGACTTTCTCAGGGCTCCCCTCCAACCCCAGTCTCCCGAGAGGGCTTCCCCGCTGGCCTGACCCACGCTGCTCCCGCTGTGGTTGGAGCCGGTGGCATTGGAGTTGACATCCGAAGGTTGACACAGGGCAGGCACACGGAGATTTGGGGCAGAGAGACGTCTAAGTGCAGAGAGCTGGAGAGGGAACAAGTGGGGAGGAAGTGAGGCGGGGAAGGAGGGGACGGGGAAGAGGTCGGATCACGTCCAGCCTTTGGGTCTTAGGAGAAAGCCAAGGAAGGGTTTCGGAAAAGAGGGGCAGGTGTGCGTGAGGGCGGGGAGAGGAGGAGGTCCCCACGCATGTCCAGGAAAGGATTAGGATGGCGGTGGGGAAGCCCCTGCAGGGAAGCGAGGCCGCGGATTTGCACTCCGACTTGACGCAGGCCAGAGGCTTGTGAGGCCACAGTCTTTCCAGACGCCACTCTGCCCGGGCTCCGTTTCCAGGTCAGCGAAAGCAGGGCAGATGGTGTGGATGCTTGACGTGGTGGAGGCAGGAATGGTGTGGATGCTTCAGGCGGTGGAGGCAGGAGAGGCCCCCAGTGCAGAGACCCTGACTGTCCCAGTGTCCCTAAGAAGAGACCTGAGGAGGTGCTGAGCAAGAGAGGTTCTCGAGCCTTCCTGAGTTCCCGAGCCTCCCCTATCTTCTCTGCTCGCCCCCAGGAGCTGGGCAACAGCCTGGACAAGTGCAAGAACAATGAGAACCTGCAGCAGATCCTCACCAATGCCACCATCATGGTCGTCAGCGTCACCGCCTCCACCACCCAGGGGTATGTCCGCTTCGAGGGAGGCGCCGGGCCCTAATGGGATTGGGGATTAGGCTGGAGCTACACACGCAGGTGTACACACGCACACACACATACACACATGCACACACACACACAGAACCGAGAGGGCTGGGGCTGGGCACACCAGGCAGGCGGGAGATCCAGGAGGCTGGGCCCACCCGCCCCTGCAGGCAGCAGCTGTCGGAGGAGGAGCTGGAGCGGCTGGAGGAGGCCTGCGACATGGCGCTGGAGCTGAACGCCTCCAAGCACCGCATCTACGAGTATGTGGAGTCCCGGATGTCCTTCATCGCACCCAACCTGTCCATCATTATCGGGGCATCCACGGCCGCCAAGATCATGGGTGAGTCCCCGGGCTGGGTCCCATGGAGCGGGGGTCTGCTGACACTGTGACCTTGGGAAAGCTACATCCTTTTCTGTAGAATGGGGGCTTTGGCACCTGGACCTCAGCACCCCGTCTCCCTGGACATCACAGAGGTCAGCCAGCCTGGCACACAGCAAAGCCTCGTCTGTGGGAAAAACACTCACCCACAGCTCCTTCTCCCTCCCCTGTGCCGGAAACCCAGAGATGACCACACCCAGGCCCTGTTGTCAGGGAGCTCCTGGTTTGGTGAAAATGGTTCCAAAACACAGCCATCCCTGGAACGGCGTTAGTGTGGCTTAGCACAAACGTGGTGGTCAGCTTCCTGTTGGGGGCCTCCTCCCTGCACCCCCAGGCCAGCTGCCCTCCCTCTCTGAGCCTCCTTTGCATCTGCCCCTTGCGGAATGGGCCAGGTCGCCCGCCTGGCAGGGCCATCGAGGAATCCAACCAGAACTTCATGTAAAGGTGCCCAGCACACGTCGAGCCCCCAGGCAGATTTACTCACCCCCACCTCTCTGCTTTCTTCTGACCGCCCCCCCTTCCTCCCTCCCTCCCACCGCAGGTGTGGCCGGCGGCCTGACCAACCTCTCCAAGATGCCCGCCTGCAACATCATGCTGCTCGGGGCCCAGCGCAAGACGCTGTCGGGCTTCTCGTCTACCTCAGTGCTGCCCCACACCGGCTACATCTACCACAGTGACATCGTGCAGTCCCTGCCACCGGTGAGCCCACTGCGTCATGGCCCCTCCCCCGGCCCCCCTGGAGCCTTCCGCTGTGCCCAGACAGCCTGAGCAGCCACCCACCATCTGGCCCAGCTGACGGTAGCACTCAGGAGCTGGGAACAGGGTGGCATGGGACGTGAGAGCCAGGGCTCTGCAGCAGACCAGCTCCAGCACCCACCAGTCAGGTGACTGTGGGCAAGAGGCATGAGCGCCCTGTGCCTCAGTCTCCTCCCCTATCAAATGGGAGCACAGCGCCTGCTTCATGAGTTGGGACGAGGGCTCAGTGCACATGAAGCACTTACAGTTCAGGCCTAGCTCACGACAAGCAGCGTCGGGTTAGCGTGCAACTGCTCCGAAGACCACCCTCAGGTTTGACCATTCACTAGAAAGACTCACAGAATCCACTGAGGGCTGCACATCAGCCATGGGGAGAGACACACAGGAGGGGCAGGAGAGGTCACCAACCTCGGAGCTTCCCGGGTCCTCTCCCTGCAGTCGGGACACATCACCATCCCAGCATCGACGCCTGACAGCACACACACAGGCCCGCTAGCCTGGCGGGGCGCAGTGGCTCGTGCCTGTCATCCCAGCACTTTGGGAGGCCGAGGCGGGCAGATCACCTGAGGTCAGGTGTTCGAGACCAGCCTGGCCAACATGGTGAAACCCCATCTCTACCAAAAATACAAAAAACTAGCTGGGTATAGTGGCACACACTTATAATCCCAGCTACTTGGGAGGCTGAGGCAGGAGAATCGCTTGAACCCAGGAGGTGGAGGTTGCAGTGAGCTAAGATCATACCACTGCCCTCCAGCCTGGGTGACAGAGTGAGACTCTGTCTCAAAAAAAAAAAAAAACAAGACAGGTTCTGGGACAGACAGGCCTGGGTCCAGACCCTGCTCTGTCCGACTGTGGCGAGTTACCTCAGGCTCACGGCCCTGTGCCCTGCCTGGCCTCCCCCAGGGATGGGGAGAACAATAGCACTGATGGCCAAGGCTGGGCAGGCACTTCCTGGCCCCACCCCCCAGCCCTGTGTGGGGTTTTTTTTGTGGTCTTTTCTGCGACCCTTTAGGTCAGGCACTGCTACTGGAACACACCCAGGGAGGCTGGCAGGTCACCCCATCCTGGGAGGAGAGAGAGTGGGCGATAGAACCCAGGACGGGTGGGCCTGGGGCTCGGGGCTCCAGCTGCCTCACTGCACCCCTGCCATCGCCACCGCCTCACAGCCCTGGGCATATGGGTTAAACCTGCCCCAGGGAGCCTGATGTCTTGTCACCCAGGCCTCTGCCTCTTCATTTGGCCATCTCACATCGGTCCAGGCACAGGCCGTAGACACCACAGGCCTGTAAGGGAGGCCAGGGCTGGCCATCGCTTCACTGTGGCTGACAGCTGGGCTCTGTTTGCAGTTTGGATTGGAACCCTGGCTCCATCACCTGCTGGCTGTCTCCCTGGCCACATGACTTGAAGCCTTGGTTTCCACATCTGAAAAGGGGGTGCAATGATCACACCAGCCCAATATTTGAATATTTGATGAGATGATCCGAGGGGCGTGCTTAGCATGGGGCTGGCATCCAGGCCGAGTGCACTCCCCCCGGCGTCTCCACAGTCACCACCGTCCTCGTTGTCAGCGTGCCTTACTGTCATCCTTACCTGATGGCCACTTATCAGCTGGGACATGGCTCTGTGCCCTGCCCTCATCCCCTCTTCCTGTGAAGTAGGAGCTGAGAGCACACACCTCTAGAGCCCAAGGGTGGAAAGCCCCCTTCCAGGACCCCAGGTAGAGCCAGAGGAGGAGCGCGCGCGGTTGCTTTGCTGTTACCTCTGTCTGTCTGTCTCACACAGATTCCACCCCCGTTTTCCGTTGCTCCAGGATCTGCGGCGGAAAGCGGCCCGGCTGGTGGCCGCCAAGTGCACACTGGCAGCCCGTGTGGACAGTTTCCACGAGAGCACAGAAGGGAAGGTGAGGAGGGAAAGGTGAGGGGCGGCCGGGCGTCTTTTCCTCTGGGCCTGGGGTGTCTCTGCAGGGAGACCCTCAGCAGGGAGCCCACCCCAGCGAGCACTGTCCTACCAAGGCGGAGGCAGTGCTTCTGCCCACCCTCCCTGGGGTCAGGCACCCCCTTCCCCAGTGGGGTTTCCTAGGTCTGCTGTTGGAAGGTAGCATGAACCTACTGGCTTCAAACAGTGCAGGTGTGGCCGGGTGCAGTAGCTCACGCCTGTAATCCCAGCACTTTGGGAGGCCAGGGTGGGCGGGTCACAAGGTCAGGAGTTTGAGACCAGCCTGGCCAACATGGTGAAACCCCATCTCTACCAAAATTAGCCGGGTGTGGTGGCACGCACCTGTAATCCCAGTTACTCAGGAGGCTGAGGCAGGAGAATTGCTTGAACCTGGGAGACGGAGGTTGCAGTGAACTGAGATTGCATCATTGCACTCCAGCTTGGGTGACATAGCGAGACTCCATCTAAAAACAAAAACAAAAAACAGTACAGGTTTATTATCTGTGGTCCTGTAGGTCAGAAGTCCAAAATGAGTTTCACTGGGCTGAAGTCAGGGTGTCATCCTGGAGCGTTCCTTCTGGGGGATTCAAGGGATAATCCATTCCCTTGTCTTTTCCAGCTTCTAGGGGTCACTGGCACCCCTTAGCTCGTGGCCCTCCCTCTGTCTGCGGAGCCAGCCACATAGCACCCTCAGACCTCTCTCTGACTCTGCTTCTGTCTTCATATCTCGGCCTCTGTTTTTGTTCCCCTCTTCTATTTTAAGGGCCCCTGTGGCTATACTGAGCCTACTCAGATGGTCCAGGATAGTCTTCCCAGCTCACAATCCTTAAAATCCTTCTTAACCTCTTCACGTCCCTTTTGCCCTGTGATTCTGGGAATTAGAACATGGGCCTCTTTGGGCATGTGTGTGTTGGTGGGGGCGTAATTTGCCTTCCACACCAGGATCTGTCCCCGCTGCAACAGGGGATGTTATTCAAGTAATTATTCAGTTACCTTCTGTCTTCCTTGGTAGATGTACTCGGGAGAGGAGACGTTTTCTGTCTTGTGAACTGTCGTTTGCCAAGCACCCGGCCTGGCACAGCGTTCAGGTGTTCCGTGTCCCCTTCTCCTTTCCCTCTCCCCATCTCACCCCTGGTCTGGGTGTGGGGGTGCAGCTGTGAGTAGCACAGACAGGACCCCTGCCCCGTGGCGTGGACATTCTTGTTGGGGCCGGGTCAAAGAGACAGTCAACAGGTGAACTCTGTCCTGCGTCTAGCGGTGCTAAGTCAACACCAAGAAGAAAAAGAAAGGGGGTGGCGGTGAGGCAGCATTAGGTGCTGATTTAACTAAGGCACGTGGATACTCGGGGGGTCCGCTCAGAGGAGGCCTGGGTGGGCAGCCCACGCGAGCAGCTGCAGGACCTCCCCCTCGCCCTCCCCAGGTGGGCTACGAACTGAAGGATGAGATCGAGCGCAAATTCGACAAGTGGCAGGAGCCGCCGCCTGTGAAGCAGGTGAAGCCGCTGCCTGCGCCCCTGGATGGACAGCGGAAGAAGCGAGGCGGCCGCAGGTGAGGGGCCCTGGGGGTCCGGTAGGCATGGGGGTCATGGAGGGGAGAAGCCGGCGTCCTCCTCCCAGCCGACTCCCTGGCGCCGCCCACCCACCCGTCCCCAGGTACCGCAAGATGAAGGAGCGGCTGGGGCTGACGGAGATCCGGAAGCAGGCCAACCGTATGAGCTTCGGAGAGGTCAGACTCCCAGAGCGCCCTCCTCAACCCCACAGCCAGCCAGCCGCCACCGCCCTCTGCCTCCTGCCACCGCCCCTCCTCTCGTCCTGTGGCCCTGGCTCATGTCTAGGGCGCTGCCCCAGCCTCCTCCCCCCCGGCCTCTATTCTCGTTTCCATCCATTCAGCCCCAAAGCGACCCTCGCGGCCCTTGGAGCCTGTGTCTCCGCTGCTTAGAGCCCCCGCGGCTTCCCATCGCCCCGGGCTCCTTGGCCGGTTCCTCCCTGCCCAGAGGCTCCTTAGTGCCCTGCTGCACGGCCGCCCCGTCCCTGGGCCCCGCCAGTCTCCTCTGTTATCCCAGCGTCATCCCCTTGGTCCTGCAGGACCGAACTCAGAGGCCACCTCATCCTATTAAACCTGTTCTGGTTCCTGACATCCCCCGACCCACACGAGTAAGGAAGGAATGGCCTCCCAACTCTGAGCTCACAGAGCAGTGCTGGGACCGGGCCCCTCTCAGGCTCCCCGGCATCCCCCGCGTGTGTGGGCCCCCAGGCCTCAGCCGGGCCGAGTGGGTACCGGAGCAGGTGCCCGTGGGACCGGCCGGCTGGTGACCGCTGGGCTTCCGGCTGGTGGAGGGGGTGCCTCGGTGGCTGGAGGGCAGGGCCTGGTCGCTGAACTGCAGGGCGCCTCCTCTTCCCCCTAGATCGAGGAGGACGCCTACCAGGAGGACCTGGGATTCAGCCTGGGCCACCTGGGCAAGTCGGGCAGTGGGCGTGTGCGGCAGACACAGGTAAACGAGGCCACCAAGGCCAGGATCTCCAAGACGCTGCAGGTATGGGCCAGACCCAGGTGGGGCTGGGGACCGAGGGACACAAGGTGGGGGGAGCCCAGATCGCAGCCTCCCTGTCCTCCCCACAGCGGACCCTGCAGAAGCAGAGCGTCGTATATGGCGGGAAGTCCACCATCCGCGACCGCTCCTCGGGCACGGCCTCCAGCGTGGCCTTCACCCCACTCCAGGTACCTCCCCTGGGCCGGCTCTGTCCCCAGCCCTGAGACCTTGGCAAGGCCCCTTGCCCTCTGCCCCTGTGAAGAAGGCCAGGATGAGTCTCCTCATGGGGCTGTTGTGGAGGGTGTGGTGACGAGGTATGCAGAGGACGTAGACAGCTCCTGGCACACAGGAAGAGGTTAGCAGAGACGAGAGCCCAGCGCTGAGCAGTCCTCGTGAGCACGCACTGCTTTAGAACCAGGCCCACAGCTGTGTTCAGGGCACCCAGTTCCTCTGTCGGGCTGTGAGCGGGTAACACTGCTCAGCCTCCAGGCCCTCCAGTTCAAAACGGCCAGGACGGTTAAGGTAACCTCAGGACCCCACTCGAGAAAGTTCCCGGCTAGGCGGGCTTGGATGTCAAGTGTGGGTCCAGGCCCCAGCCAGTCAGCAGTGAGCAGCGTGGAGCATGGCAGTCACCGCATCGTCGGAGCCTCGGTTTACCATCCACAGAGCAGGGCGAGCCTGCACCACGGAGGCGAGACAGCAGCGAGCTCATCTGCCCAGTCAGCGGGTGTCTACGCAGCACCTGCTGAGTTCTGTCAGTGTTCCCGGCTCTGGGGATGAAGCAACGAATGAGAGACAAGTCTTACCTTCTTGGAGCCAGTGGGTGGCCGGGCGCAGACAGCTCAGTAAGATGTCCAGTGTAGGAGAAGGCAGAAATGCCAGGCCGGGCGCAGACAGCTCAGTAAGATGTCCAGTGTAGGAGAAGGCAGAAATGCCAGGCTGGGCGCAGACAGCTCAGTAAGATGTCCAGTGTAGGAGAAGGCAGAAATGCCAGGCCGGGCGCAGACAGCTCAGTAAGATGTCCAGTGTAGGAGAAGGCAGAAATGCCAGGCCGGGCGCAGACAGCTCAGTAAGATGTCCAGTGTAGGAGAAGGCAGAAATGCCAGGCCGGGCGCAGACAGCTCAGTAAGATGTCCAGTGTAGGAGAAGGCAGAAATGCCAGGCTGGGCGCAGACAGCTCAGTAAGATGCCCAGTGTAGTAGAAGGCAGAAATGCCAGGCCGGGCGCGGTGGCTCACGCCTGTAATCCCAGCACTTTGGGAGGCCGAGGCAGGTGGATCATGAGGTCAGGAGATCGAGACCATCCTGGCTAACACGGTGAAACCCCGTCTCTACTAAAAATACAAAAACTTAGCCGGGCGTGGTGGCGGGCGCCTGTAGTCCCAGCTACTTGGGAGG
Organism: Homo sapiens; assembly: GCF_000001405.40. NCBI lineage: Eukaryota > Metazoa > Chordata > Mammalia > Primates > Hominidae > Homo > Homo sapiens. The sequence continues at coordinate 105,068 of NW_003571055.2, forward strand.
CTGAGGCAGGAGAATGGCGTGAACCCGGGAGGCGGAGCTTGCAGTGAGCCGAGATCGCGCCACTGCACTTCAGCCTGGGCGACAGAGCCAGACTCTGTCTCAAAAAAAAAAAAAAGAAGGCAGAAATGCCAGGGAGGGGAGGAGGTGGAAGGTAGGAGGTGGGACAGGGGAGGCTCTCGTTTCGGAGCAGCCAGGGAGGGCCTCTTTGAGAAGATGAGGCCAGTGGCTGTGCCTTTCCAAGCCTCCCCTCCTCCATCATGAGGTGCTCAGGACTGAAAAGAACGCACAGGAAGCACTTGGCACTGGGCTCACCATTAGAGCCCAATGACTGGGTCCTGTTATTATTTTTAGAGACGGGGGCTCGCTCTGTTGCCTTGAAAATATTTAGGAAGTGCCAGCCAGGTGTTGGCTCCCATTGCTGCCACTATGATCGTCAGTGGTGTTGGTGTGATTTGTGCTAGGACCTCGGGCCAGCCATGTCCCCCAGGGACTCAGTTTCCTTATGCAGAAACTGGGCAGGATTGGCTGTCCTCAAGCATTGGTTGTTTTTAGCACCCCTGAGGAACTTCGTACAAATCCAGGCGCCCTGGTTCCTCCCCACCCTCTCCCTCTAGACCCACTGAGTCAGAATCTCCCAAGACAGGGCAACTCCAGGGACAGGCAAACTGTCTCATGCCCACCAAGGCCTGAGTGCCATGGGGAAGGGCCTGGGGGGCTCTGATGGGTCACAGTTGGGGCCTTCTCCTCACCTAACCCATCATCCTCTCTCCCTCACCTGCCCAGGGCCTGGAGATTGTGAACCCACAGGCGGCAGAGAAGAAGGTGGCTGAGGCCAACCAGAAGTATTTCTCCAGCATGGCTGAGTTCCTCAAGGTCAAGGGCGAGAAGAGTGGCCTTATGTCCACCTGAATGACTGCGTGTGTCCAAGGTGGCTTCCCACTGAAGGGACACAGAGGTCCAGTCCTTCTGAAGGGCTAGGATCGGGTTCTGGCAGGGAGAACCTGCCCTGCCACTGGCCCCATTGCTGGGACTGCCCAGGGAGGAGGCCTTGGAAGAGTCCGGCCTGGCCTCCCCCAGGACCGAGATCACCGCCCAGTATGGGCTAGAGCAGGTCTTCATCATGCCTTGTCTTTTTTAACTGAGAAAGGAGATTTTTTGAAAAGAGTACAATTAAAAGGACATTGTCAAGATCTGTCCTTGGGGAGTGATCATTTTTCAAACAGCCGGGGCAACTAGAAGAATCAGAGCTGTGGAGCTTTGAGAAAAGAGCTTGGCCCTCGGGTCCAAGCGGTGTCTAGGCCCACTCCCTTCCCCGTTACTTTCTCGTCATGGGATCCCAGAAGGAAAAAGCCCTCTCCAACCCCCTGGAGAGCCGCAGTCACTTTGATAGCAAATGATGTGGCTGCCAACAGCCGCAGATCTCAGCGCAGGCCGACCGGGATTGCTGTCCACCTCAGGCCAGCCTCCTCACCTTTCCAAGCCTCCACACCTACGCCCAGGTGCCCAGGACTGGAAAGAATGCACAGAAAGCACTTAGCATGGGACTTGCCATCAGCGCCCTATAACCAGGTCCTGTTATGATTGGGTTTTTTAGAGACGGGGTCTCTGTTGCCCAGGTTGGAGTACAGTGATGCGATGAAGCTCACTAAAGCCTCAAACTCCTGGGCTGGGATTACAGGCATGAACCAGCACAGCTGGCCTCCTGGTTAATTTAAATTTTTTTTTTTTTTCTGAGGTGGAGTCTCGCTCTGTTGCCCAGGCTAGAGTACAGTGGTGCAATCTTGGCTCACTGCAACCTCTACCTCCCGGGTTCAAGCAATTCTCCTGCCTCAGCCTCCTGAGTAGCTGGGATTACAGGCATGTGCCACCATGTCCCGCTAATTTTTATAGTTTTTAGTAGAGACAGGGTTTCGCCATGTTGGTCAGGCTGTTCTCGAACTCCTGACCTCATGATATGCCCACCTCAGCCTCCCAAAGTGCCAGGATTACAGGTGTGAGCCACCACCCCAGCCCCATTTTTAAATTGTTTATAGACAGGGTCGTGCTCTATTACCCAGGCTGGGCTTGAACTCCTGTGCTCAAGTGAGCTTTCCACCTCAGCCTCCCTAAGTGTTGAGATTACAGGCTTGAGCCGCTGTGTCTGGCCTCTTATTATTATTATTATTTTTTTTTTTGAGACAGAATCTCACTCTGTTGCCCAGGCTGGAGTGCAGTGGGATGATCCTGGCTCATGGCAACCTCCACCTCCCGGGTCCAGGTGATTCTCCTGCCTCAGTCTCCTGAGTAGCTGGGATTACAGGCGCCCATGGGTTTTGTTTGTTTGTTTGTTTGTTTGTTTGTTTTTCAGACGGAGTCTTGCTCTGTCACCCAGGCTGGAGTGCAATGACATGGTCTTGGCTCACTGCAAACTCCGCCTCCCAGGTTGAAGTGATTCTCCTGCCTCAGCCTCCCGAATAGCTGGGATTACAGGCGCCCGCCACCACGCCTGGCTAATTTTGTATTTTTAGCAGAGACGGGGTTTCACCATTTGGGCCAGGCTGGTCTTGAATTGCTGACCTTGTGATCTGCCCGCCTCGGCCTCCCAAAGTGCTGGGATTACAGGTGTGACCCACCGCGCCCGGCCGAGATGGGGTTTTACCATGTTGGCCAGGCTGGTCTCGAACTCCTGACCTCAAATAATCCGCCTGCCTCGTCTCCCAAAGTGCTGGGATTACCCTGTGCCTGGCCCAGCCTCTTATTTATAACCAGTGTTGAGGGACTGTGTGGAGCCGGGCACAGGCGAAGCAGGCAGGCTTCCTGCCCTGGTAGGACCTGGTTGCTATAAAAGTCCTGCCAGGTGAGCAGAAGGAGCACACTTCCCCTCCCCTGACCTCCAGTCACTGAGTCTCGGGAACCGGGGCTCGGCCAGGAGCGCCTTTACTTGGACTGAGGGGAATGTGGCCTGCAGACAGTCAGGAGAGTTTCCAGGGGACAGCAGGGGCTGTCCTAGCGGGTGGCATGAAACCGTCTCCCTGGAGAGGTTAAGGAAGAGCAACTCCAGGGGTTCCATTTACTATGTGCTCCGGAGCTGGGCTACACGGTGGTACTAAGGAGGCAGCGCTAGTCACCTGACCTACAAGGTCGGGCTTCTGTTAGTTACCTAAGAGATGTTACCAGGACAAGCAGCAGCCTGGTGGGAAGATGATGCCTCCAGGTCTCTACCTCCTCTCTCTCTCCCTCCTTCTCTCCACCTCCCCTCTCTCTCCCTCCCTCTCTCCACCTCCCCTCTCTCTCTTCCTCCCTCTCCACCTCCCCTCTCTCTCCCTCCCTCTCTCCACCTCCCCTCTCTCTCCCTCCCTCTCTCCACCTCCCCTCTCTCTCTCCCTCCCTCTCTCCACCTCCCCTGTCTCCACCTCCCCTCCCTCTGTCCCTCCCTCTCTCCACCTCCCCTCCCTCTGTCCCTCCCTCTCTCCACCTCCCCTCTCTCTCCCTCCCTCTCTCCACCTCCCCTCTCTCTCTTCCTCCCTCTCCACCTCCCCTCTCTCTCTTCCTCCCTCTCCACCTCCCCTCTCTCCCTCCCTCTCTCCACCTCCCCTGTCTCCACCTCCCCTCCCTCTGTCCCTCCCTCTCTCCACCTCCCCTCTCTCTGTCCCTCCCTCTCTCCACCTCCCCTCTCTCTGTCCCTCCCTCTCTCCACCTCCCCTCTCTCTCCCTCCCTCTCTCCACCTCCCCTCTCTCTCCCTCCCTCTCTCCACCTCCCCTCTCTCTGTCCCTCCCTCTCTCCACCTCCCCTCTCTCTCTCCCTCCCTCTCCACCTCCCCTCTCTCCACCTCCCCTCACTCCACCTTCCCTCTCTCTCCCTCTCTCTCCTCCCCTCTCCCTCCCTCCACCTCCCCTCCCTCTCTCCACCTCCCCTCCCTCTCTCCCTCCCTCCCTCCCTCTCTCCACCTTCCCTCTCCCTCCCTCCACCTTCCCTCTCCCTCCCTCCACCTTCCCTCTCCCTCCCTCTCCACCTTCCCTCTCTCCTCCCCTCTCCCTCCCTCTCTCCACCTCCCCTCTCTCCCTCCCTCCCTCCCTCTCTCCACCTTCCCTCTCTCCCTCCCTCTCTCCACCTTCCCTCTCTCTCTCTCCCTCCCTCTCTCCAGCTCATGCTATCTGGGTCTCCCTCTGACTTTCTAGGTCCTGTCTGAGATTTTGCTCTTTCTGTTCCCCTCTCTGGGCCTCCCCGTCACCACTCTGTGTATCTCTGGATCCCTGTCCTTCAACCCAGAGCTCTGTCTCTGGACCTCAGTGGCAATCTCTAAATCTCTCTCCTTCCTCAAGTCAAAAAGTCGACACACTCAGGAGGTTCCCTTGAGTGGCTGAACTACCCCAGGTTGTATAACTCAAGTCTGTTTTCTCAATGTTATCCCTGACCCTCTGGGTCAACCCTGTTTGAAAATGACAACCTTTGCTGATCTCTACATACTGGTCTGCCAGGGAAGGACCCGTGGTCCACAACCCTGTTCAGAATCCCCCATCTCCCTTGGCCAAAATATCCGGCATCTACCAATGGGGCTGTGGCATGAGGGTGTCAATCTCAGGAAAGGAATCTTGAGTCGCCTGGGCCTGCAGCCCTCGTACTTTCAGAACAGAGGTTCTCAGAATTTAATGCGCTTCAGAATTACACTGAGGACTTGTTAAAACATAGTTGCTGGGCCCAGAGTTTCTGATTCAGTCTAGGGTGGGGCTCAAAAATGTGCCTTTCAAACAAGTTCCCAGGTGATGGGTACGTGCCTGACCCAAGGCCACATTTCAGAAGCACTGCTCTAGAAAAGAAGACTCTGTAAGCGGCTCTTACGCTGGGCGCGGTGGCTCACGCCTGTAATCCCAGCTACTTGGGAGGCTGAGGTGGGAGAATGGCTTGAACCTGGGAGGCAGAGGTTGCAGTGAGCCGAGATGGCGCCCCTGCACTCCAGCCTGGGTGAGAGAGACACTGGCTCCCACCTCAAGATCGTTTTAGTTGGTCCAGTGTAAGCCTGGGTATCTGGACTTTTTTATTTTTTATTTTTATTTTTTGAGACGGCGTCTTGCTCTGTCACCCAGGCTGGAGTGCAATGGCGCAATCTCGGGTCACTGCAACCTCTGCCTCCCAGGTTCAAGTGATTCTCCCGCCTCAGCCTCCCGAGTAGCTGGGATTACAGGCACATGCCACCATGCCCAGCTAATTTTTGTATTTTTAGTAGAGACGGGGTTTCACCATGTTGGCCAGGCTGGTTTTGAACTCCCTACCTCAGGTGATCCGCCCACCTCGGCCTCTGAGAGTGCTGGGATTACAGGTGCAATGGCGCAATCTAGGCTCACTGCAGCCTCTGCCTCCCGGGTTCAAGTGATTCTCCCGGCCCGGCCTGGCCTCTAATTTAAAAAAAATTTTTTTTTTTTAAAGTTCCTCAGGTAGGCCAGGCGCAGTCGTCACGCCTGTAATCCCAGCACTTTGGGAGACTGAGGCGAGCGGATCACCTGAGGTCAGGAGTTCGACACCAGCCTGGCCAACATGGTGAAACCCCGTCTCTACTAAAAATACAAAAATTAGTCGGGCGTGGTGGCGGGCGCCTGTAATCCCAGCTACTCGGGAGGCTGAGGCGGGAGAATCACTTGAACCCCGGGAGGCAGAGGCTGCAGTGAGCCTAGATTGTGCCACTGCTCTCCAGCCTGGGGGACAAGAGCAAGTCTTCGTCTCAACAACAACAACAATAACAACAAGTTCCTCAGGTGACTCTGATGTGCAGCCAAGTTGGAAAGTCATCGCTAGATCCGCGGTGTGCAAAGTGAACTGCGGACCGTGGACTGCGGCACTTGTTAGAAAAGCAGAATTTGCATTTTAACACATTCCTAGGTGATTCCGGAGATGTCTGAGAAGCGATACTTTGTCCAGGGGCCACAGTTTGAATAGCAGAGCTCTAGAACAATAACTCTAGGCTTCATTCCCGTTGTCTGTGTGTGGGCCTACGAATATGCATTTTCGCAAGCATTCCTCCTCCCCCTTGCCTCAGACCATTCTGATGCGGGTGGTGCTGAACGGCTCCATCCTCCTTCACGTTCACCTCTCCCTGGGATTTATCTTACTTTCCACCACCTAGACAGGAAGGGGCGAATCTGGCTTCCCATCTCGGTTGTGTGACCCTGGGCAAATGCCTCCCAGTTCGTGGAAGTCTCAGTGTCTAGTAAGTTTTCAATCACAAGTCATTCCTCACATTCATTCATCTATTCCTTTGACAAATGGTTACTGACTACTTCCTGCGTGCTAAGTGCTGGAGATGCAAAATCCAGACAGGGAAACCGAATAATTACGAAAATGACGGTAGACGTACAAAAATAAATCCTAACGAACAAGGCGCGCAGGAGCGCTCCGCCCGGGAGGGAGGTCAGGGAAGTTTTCTCTCCAAGAAGACAACAGAGCTGAGACCTGAAACGAGCAGGCATTAGGGAGCCACCCGTCTCCTCTGTACCTTCTGCAGCGTCCTCAACACACTAAGGAAGCGGAGACGCAGAGGAGAATGACTGTCCTACCATCTGGTCGCCTAACCAGGCAGGGGCAGGACAAAAACTCCATGCCTCACGCTTCCCAACCAATTCTGCTATGCACGGTGCCAGAGACTTAAAGCAGTGTCTCTGGTCCCTTTCTTCTTTCACTCAGCAAATAATGAATTTCAGAGATGTGCCAACATAGAGGCACTTGGAGAAAGACGAGGCAGCTGAGAGGGAAGCTGCTTACCTGGCCGGGACGCAACGGTTGCGACCAAGTCCCACTTCTGCCAGCTACATACACCCTCTTTCACACGCTCTACGAGCAGCTACCGCCCACTCGCCACGCTATTGGTCAAACTAGCATGAATGATAACTTTTAGGGCCAACGAAGAAAAAGGGGTGGACTTTCTTGCCCAGCTCCTCCCACTTGGCCCTGTGGCTGTTTTGATTGGCAGATGACTTCGGCTCGGCCCCCGCTTTAAAGGCACCTGTCTGTCTCCCATTAGGTACGCGGCCCCTAACGCCCACACTCCATGCCTTCCTCCGCTTTCCCCACCCACTTCCAGGACCAACCAATGACTTCAAGGCAGAATATGCCCCCGCAACCAATTAAAAAGAGCTCTAAACTTGACGGACGACTTCCCGCCCCTGGACTGTCGTAGCTCCTCCCCCAGACCAATTGTTTTAAGAGAGGGGGGCGGATACATCCAATCAGCACGACACAGGTCTCTTGATTGACGTTCGGGTCCTCGCGCTGGCGTGTTGTGCCCTGAGGCGGGAGGAGGAGGAGGAGCGGGGAGGAAAACCTGAGCCAATCCTAGCAGCCTGCGCGGGAGGCCAATCGAACGCCGCGCCTTGGAGCGATCACCCAATCCGCGAAAGGGGGCAGGGCGCATCCCTGCCAGGAACCAATAGAAAGCCTCCAAGGGTCAGGAGCGACGTTCAGCAGGAGCAATGACTGGCCTATATTCGGGACTCGGGGGCGGGTCGGCGCCAGAGACGAGAAGAGAGGAGGGGAGGCCTCCTCCGCCGCCGCCATCTTGGACCGGGCCCGGTCAGCTTCCGCGGAGCCATCGGCAGACGCCGCGGCCTCCCTTGAGCCCCGACCCCCGTCGTCAGAACAACCCCGGGCCCACTCCCCCAACCCCACTTCCGCTTCGCGCCGCTATCGCGATAGCGCCCGGGCCCGGGGCGCGAGAAAAAGGCGGCGGGCGCTCGCCTCCCCCGCCTGTCGCGATACGCTCCTCAGCGGCGGCGCCAGCTCCTGTGGTGAGAGCGTCAGGCTCGACTGGGCCGGACCCCTTCCCTTCCTCCCCCCGGCGCCATCGGCCGCCCTCCCCGCCGCCTCCCGCCCTGGCGACACCGCCGTCTGTCGCGACATGGCCTCCCCTCGCCTGCCCCCTGCCGCCGCCTCTGCAGCGCGGGGCTCCCGGCGGGGGGCGGCTCCCTCCCTCTCGCCCTCCCGTTCCTGCGCCTCTTTCACGTTCCTCAGCGCCTCCCGGGGGTCCTTCCGCGACCCGGACCCCGGGCCCCGCCCGCCGCCGCCTCCCCGCGTGGCATCGCGTCGGGCCCCCCGGTAGGGGTGTGAGGGTGCGAAGCCTCCCGGGCGCGAGGTGCCCGCCCCTCTCCGCGTCGGTATTGGCTCCTGGCTGGAAGGATGGAGGCGCCCCTGGTCCCAGGTGCCCGCCCTCTCGGGGCTCAGGTGCCTGCCCCCCTCGGCCTCGGTCCTTCGCGTTGTGGGGCAGCCTCCGCGCCGGGGCTTCTCCCTCGACGGTGGCGGGGAGGGGGGGTGGTGGTCGGGACGAGGACCCCAGCTGGGTGGGGGAGTCACCCTTCCCAGGACCGAGGCCGCCCTCCGCATCCCTCCTCACTGCTCCCGGGAGCGCAGCCTCCCCTGGATCTCAGGTTCCAGCTGCCCGTCTGTATCGGATGGGAGCCTCTTGGGAGAGGAGTGGAGGAGAAACTCCCCGTTAGTTGGAGCCTTTGCCGAAGTTTCCACCTCTGTAGTCTGCAGCTCTTCCCTCTCATAGCGAGTAGCGCCCTGGGTGGCTCCAGCCTCGCCATCCCGCTGCACTGGGCGCCTGCCTTTTTGGGGGAGTTTGGCTTTCCCCCACCTGGGGTACAGGACCGTCCTCAGTGTGGCCCACGTCTGGTCTCAGCTCTCACACTTCTTTGATCCTGGCGTCTGCCCCTGGCTTTGCAGCCTTGAACTCCCCTGCATCGTGACTCTCCGACCTTCTGGGTGTGGGCGTCTCCCAGTGATATCAGGACCACTGTGGTCTTGTTGCTGGGGGCTGCTGGGATCCCCTGGCGCTCAGGTGCCTGGTGAAAGACACTAAGCCGCCACGCTGTCCATGTTAGTGAGCTCCCACTGCGGGCAGCACCAGCCCCTCTTTCTGAGCAGTCCCTGCCTCTCAGTGCAGGGCGGCCACCCACCCCGGGGTGAGCTCTCCTGTCCTTTTGGTGAGGGGTTTTGATGTCTCCCCTCCCTCCCTTCACCCCTGCCTGAGTATGAGGCTTCTTCCATCTTCACACCAGTCTCCTCCTTTAGGGTGTCAGCTCTCCAAGGACCAAGAAGCCCACTGCCCTTGATATTTGCATCAGATCCCACACTGTGGGTTTGTTGACTTCCCATCTACCCTTACGCTGGGTGTCAGCAGTTGGAGAACAAGGGTTTCGCCTTCTGGCCCCGCTGCTGGTACCCCATGAGAGTAGGAAGCTTCCTAGACCCGGGTTCCTGTACTGCGAGGTGGGGGCTCTTCCCTCTGGGGCTGTGCCTTCTCTCCAGGGTAAGGACCCTTTCTTGGTGTCACCTCCCCCAGGGATAAGGTTCTTGCCATCCTTGGTATTGGTATGGCTGCTTTTCTGGATTTGAGGTGTCCACGCCTCTGCATGTGTCCCCACCGTAAGGCTGAGGACCCCTCTCGGATGCAGGTGCCCCCGGCTCATGCTTCCAAAACCCCCTCTTGATTTGTCACTGTATGGGGTAAGGCATAGTTTCCTGGCTGTGTGGATGTAAGATACCTGAGTCTCAAGCGGGAGACTCCACTGTAGACCCTGTCCCTGGGACCAGAGACTTCTCTGGTGTAGACTTTCCAAGGTGGGAGATTCCAGCCCCCCACCCTTGGCATGGGGCATCTCAGTGGAGATGACTACCTCTACCCCAGGCCCTAACGCATCCTTCTTCTGGAGTCTCAGAGCCTCTGTGTGGCCACGTCAGCAGCCACCTGGGTTAAGGATCACCCTTCAACATCACTTCTCAGAGCTCCTTGCTGCAGAGGCGGAAGCTCTCCCAGATCAAAGGTGCCTCATGACAAAGACCACTCTGTGGGCACATGACGGCCCCCAAGGTTAAGGACCACCCGGTGTTAGTTTCCCAGGGCTGACCTCCTGCCCCTCCCTCCTCGAGTCTTTGTGTGGTGGTATCATCTTCCCTGAGATGAAGTCTGGGGGGCTCTTCTTTACTGGTTTTGGCTCTGATTTTAGCGTGTTGGCTCCTGTGAGGCTGGTGTCCTGCTCACCTCCCCCCGCCCCGCCACCCGCCTTGTGGGTCCCTTCCCTGTGGGGATGTGTGTTCCTCTTGGGTAAGTCTCCTCCTGGGCCGAGGTTCCCAGATTCCTCAGTGCTCTTGGAGAGCCTTTGCTGCTGGAGCACAGGTTCTTCACGCCTGAGAGTGGACCTGCGATCACCACCTTCCTTGGAGGATCTTGGTGGATGCCCCCCTGACTACAGCAAATGGGGCTCTTTCTTCTCTGGCGGCGTCTCTGCTTCGAGACTCAGGCTCCAGCTTCCCTTCTCTCTGGTCCTTTGCTGGGGGGACCAGAGGTACAGATACCCTCATGATATAAGGATTTTCTTAGCGGGGAAGGTGTTGTCTCTACTGTGGCTAAGGCTCCAGCCTCTCTAGGGGACAAGTACCCTGGGCCTCTGGCACTTGCCCCTTCTCTGTGGAGGAGCTGCCTCCTCACTGGGTCTCAGCTGTAGCCGACTTCGATGTCACACTGTTCTGTCTGAAACATCACCTCCCTGGGTTAGCGCTCTTGTTCCCCTCCTTCTGGCTTGTGACCCCTCCAGGACTTCCTTCTCTTGCTGCCACAGTGTGGTCTCCTCTCTGTGGGTATTCTTCCTCTGCACTAGGATACCAGTCCTTTCCGTGTGGAGACACAGGGAGGGCGTCACCTGCCTAAGGTGTTGATTGCCTTGTTTAGGGGTGTAGACCATGAGACCTCTTCTCTCTCTGGGCTGGAGCACCTGCCCATGACCCTCTGTTGGGTTCTTGGGATGGAAAGAGGGAGTGTAAACTCTCGTTTCACATTCTTGTTCCCCCTATGCAGTAAGAGGCTTTTCTGTGTTGGGGTGTTGGACTTTGGTGAGGATCCCTGCACACCTGAGCTCTGGTGTCCAGGCCCTTGCCTTGTGTGAGCTCCCTGGGTCAAAGGGGCTTTCCCCTCCTCAGCCTGAATCCCCACTGTGGCACCTTCTCCTGGGTCCTTTTGTTGGTTGCTTTGCCTTCTTAGAGATTCCCCAGGTAGGGCGTGATAGCTGACCTGGGCGGGGGCTGCTGCGGCTTTCTTTAGGTTGGGCCTTTTACTGAGGAGATTTAAATTCCCTCAAGTGTAAGGTAGCACCCCTACCTATTATCACCCAGAATGGGTCCCTGCGGTGTTGGGAAAATTCTCCCTGGGGGTAAGGTACCAGCCCTGTCCTTTATGGGCTTCTTGTTCTAAAGCATATCCGTCCCATATGGTTGCTGCTAGTCACATGTGGTGATTAGTAACTAGTTAAAAATGAAAAATTCAGTTCCTCCATTACACTTGCCACATTTCAGATGTTCAGTGGCCAACAGATATGCGCAAATAGAGTGTTTCCAGCATTGCAAAGTTCTGTTGGATAGCACTGTTTGCCAGATGTTCCCTTCTTTGTGGGTGAGGACTCTTTTGGTGTGACTTCCCTCTGTATTGAGGCTCTTGTTCCTCAGTATGGGGCTGTTTCTGTCTTTACAGTAAGTGACTACTCCAGGGTTCCCTGCCCTGCACACGTAGAGTGGGAGCGGCCCGTGGATCCCAGGGAACTGTGCTTTTCATTGTAGGCCCCCTCCCTGGAGGGGAAGAGGGCAATCTCCGCTGGTATCTCAGAAGTCTTCTTCTGAGGCATAAGCCTCTCTTCCCAGGGCTCCCCTGGTCTCGCTGTCAGGCCCTAAGGTATGTCTTCCCTTGGACTAAAGCTCCTTGGAACTCCCTTTTGACCTCAGTCTTCTCTGGGTTCCAGGTAACTTCCTTTAAAATAAAGACGCTCCTCTCTTGAAGTTTTGGGTTCCTGCCCTGATGGTCTATGTCTCCCTGACTCTAAATTACCAATCCACTTGCTATGGGATTCCTCCATGAGTGCAGATCGGCTCCCTCACAGCTGCGGTACCTTTGCACCCTCTTATCTTAGTAAGATTTCTGTCTTCTCCCAGGTCTCTCTTGGGTACTGCCTTCTGCCCCCAAATCTCTAAGCCTTCTTGGTATTAGCTTCTTTGGGTTAGGAGTGTTATTTCCTTTTGGTTTAAGGATCCTGCTCTGGAATAAATGTCTTGGTGGTTTGAGTCCCTTCTACTTGGCATTCAGCCCTGTCTGCATGAGCGGGTTCAGCTCTTCACAGCTTTCGGCATCTCTGCTCGCCGTCGTTTTCCCCCACCCCCAATCTTTCTTCTCCTACCTACAGCTTACACACACACACACACACACACACACACACACACACACGCCCTTCTCTGTGAGCTGCCAGTTTCATTTGTCTCCTGACTTGTCTGAGGGATGACCTCTCCTAGCCACCTCTGCCCAGCCCCTCTGAGTAGGAAGTGTGATTTCCAGGGCTAATGCCTCCATCCCAGTCATCAGCTGTGTGCAGCATGACTGTCCTGCTCTGAAAAACCTTTTTGAGTGTATTCTGGGGAGAAGGTACTCCATGCTCTAGGAATTTTCCACTTCCTGAGTCAGAGGCACACAAAAAAGTATGTAACTTTTCTTGTTTCAACAAACTTATGGGGTCCCCTGTTGGCCAGACACTATGCTGGGCAGTCAAGCGAGCATCAGGAGAACTGGGGCTGGTCTCTTGTCAGATAGCAAATGCTTCTTCTCTTTACCAGTCCCACCTACCTCACTATGCTGACTAGGTCCATGTCTCTGGGTTTTTACCAGCCAGGGAATACGTGTTAATTCCTCTCCAATCTCTCCTAGCAGCGTCCGTCTCCAAGAGAGTATGAAGAGAGTGCGTCTGTAGGGCAGGGAAGATGGCGGACAAGCGCAAACTCCAAGGTACTAGACTGACTTCCTGCTGCACCTGTAGCCACATGCTCCCTCTTCTGAGGACTGCTCTTTAGATACCTGCCACCTGGGCAGGATTCTCACAGCCTTGTTCCTCCCTGGCCAGGTGAGATTGATCGCTGCCTCAAGAAGGTGTCCGAGGGCGTGGAGCAGTTTGAAGATATTTGGCAGAAGGTACAGGGGCTGAGACCCTAATAATCTGGGTCTTCAGAGAGGAGGGCACAGGAAGGCGGCTCAGGACCTCTGGGTGTTGACCAGCGGGAGGGGCTACATATGCAGATGCTGAGGACCTAAGAGAATCAGCTCTAAGATGGATTGGGGGTAGGGGTTGGGGGGGGTCCTCGAGTCCCTAGCATAAGGAAGAATCACTGGAGTGGGTACTGGGACATCCCCTCCCACACTGACTTCTCAATTCTCTCCATCCCTCAGCTCCACAATGCAGCCAACGCGAACCAGAAAGAAAAGTATGAGGCTGACCTAAAGAAGGAGATTAAGAAGCTACAAGTGAGGGGGCTGGGGGCCTGGACGCCTTTGTCCTGAGGGTAGAGGGAACTGGGAGAGTGGACTGCTGGGTCCCAGGGAGAAGGAGCTGTGGGCCCCAGTTCCTGGGTCCTGAGGTCTGACTTTCTTGCTTTTCCCATCTGCAGCGGCTGAGGGACCAAATCAAGACATGGGTAGCGTCCAACGAGATCAAGGACAAGAGGCAGCTTATAGACAACCGCAAGCTCATTGAGACGGTAGGAGCCCAGAGCCTGAGTCCCAGAGAGGTGGGAAGGTCACCAGATTCTTGAGATCCCAAGGGGCGGAGGCAGAGCGGCCAGACCCCAGAGGTCCTCAAGAGAAGTAAGGTTTCTGCACCTAAGGGAAGTGAAGAGGCAGCGGACTCAGAGCTCAGAAAGTAGGGTCACGAGGCTCAGGTCGGAGTGTCTGCTGGCCCTTAGTCAGCTCCTTTCCCACCTTTGAGAGCCCCCCTGCCAACTGCACTCTCTACAGCAAATGGAACGGTTCAAAGTTGTGGAACGAGAGACCAAAACCAAAGCTTACAGCAAAGAGGGCCTGGGCCTGGCCCAGAAGGTAGATCCTGCCCAGAAGGAGAAGGAAGAGGTTGGCCAGTGGCTCACGGTGAGTTGGGGTAGAGAAGAGGAGGTGAACTCTGAGGATCCTGAGCCCTGGGTGTAGGCGGAACCCTAGCTGATGGGCTTCCTCTTCCTCTCCCTCCCCTAGAATACCATCGACACGCTCAACATGCAGGTGGACCAGTTTGAGAGTGAAGTGGAGTCACTGTCAGTGCAGACACGCAAGAAGAAGGGCGACAAGGATGTGAGTGAGGGAGACCCGACACCTTTGGGATGGGGATGGGCATGGGAATGGGCTGGCCAGCAGGAGGCCAGTCATTTATGCTCCTGGGAGTTGGGGCCTGGATTCCTCAGGCGGACAGGGCCAACAGCCGGGATTAGGGATTTGAGAGACAGGATTGGGAGGGCTTAGCAGCTGCACGCGTGGGGCAGGAAGGAGGTCAGACAGAATCTCAGGGTCCCCTGGGTGTCTGGGTAGACCGTGGGGCCTTTGTGAAGAGGAGCGACTTGGGGGAAGGTGAGTGCAGGTTGAGCTTGGGCCACAGAGTAAAAGTGAGACCTGAAGGACACCCATGGCAAGAGGCCTCCTGGCACCCAGAGGGCCCTGGTCCTAGGGAGAGCACAGTGGGTAGAGACAAGGCAGAACATGGAGAAGGCAGAGAACCAGGCCTGAAGGAAGACAGGAGTCTGGGACAAAGCTGGATGTTGGGGTCCCAGGTTCTAAAATCCGGGATTGTGGGGTATGAGTTCAAAGGGATACAAACTGTACAGACTTGCTGAAACCAGAAAGACAGGGAGGGGAGAGCCGGGTCCTCAGGGAAGCTGTGGGTGGGAGAGGGTCAGGAAGTGGAAGATGACAGGGTTGGGTGTCAGACTCTGAGGGGTTTGGGAACCAGGGGCTTTCGGGGAGATGATGGGTCCTTGAACAGAGCAGAGATTTGGAACCAAGGCTAAGATGTTAAATCCTAAAGGGGCCTTGAGGGGAGGGCAGGAGCGAGGCTTAGGAATCTGGGCTCTCTCAGGGATAAATGGGTAGGGTTGGGGGCCTAGTGATGACAGATATCACAATTCTAAACAGCAAGCTCCTCACAAATGGGGGTTATCATTGTTACTGCTGGAGCAGGTCGGAGGGTATCTGTATGCCAGAGGCAGTCACAGTGGTGGGCGGGCTCAGTTGAGAAATCTGGGCTGTCAGGTGAGGTGCAGATGGAGGCCAAGTCGTGGGATGGCACAAGGACCTCTGGGTCTTTTAGAGGTTTCCAAGGACTCCTGGAGCCAGAAAGGTGTGGGGAGAGGAGGGAGCAGTGGGATCCCAAGATGTCAAGGCTAAGATTGGTCCCCACAGGGCTCAGAGGGTGGGTGGACCCCATACTGCCCCACCCCGAAGGGGATGGCGTGGAGGCTTTGGGTCTCCACAGGGGTCAGGGACTGAGGACAGGTTCTGTGGGGGCAGGAGGGGCCAAGCAGGTGCTCTGCAGCCCCTGAGCCTGGCCCTGGGCTCGCCAGCAGAAGCAGGACCGGATTGAGGGCTTGAAGCGGCACATCGAGAAGCACCGCTACCACGTGCGCATGCTAGAGACCATCCTGCGCATGCTGGACAATGACTCCATCCTCGTTGACGCCATCCGCAAGATCAAGGACGACGTTGAGTACTATGTTGACTCATCCCAGGACCCCGACTTCGAGGAGAACGAGTTTCTCTACGATGACCTGGACCTCGAGGACATTCGTGAGGCCCTGGGGCTGATCGTGGCACAGGAAGTGAGGGCCCAGAATGGGCTGTGTGAGCCAGCTAAGCATGCCCTTCTTCTGCCCCCACAGCACAGGCGCTGGTCGCCACCTCCCCTCCCAGCCACAGCCACATGGAGGATGAGATCTTCAACCAGTCCAGCAGCACGCCCACCTCAACCACCTCCAGCTCTCCCATCCCGCCCAGCCCAGCCAACTGTACCACGGTGAGGCCCCACGGGACACTAGTACCTTGTGTTTCCAGCAGGGCAGGACTCGAGGAGACAAATCTGGGTCACTCCAAAGTGGCTATGGGAGCGTAATTGAGGAAACACAGATCTAGGTATCCAGGGTCTAGGCTCTTGGAGCACACGCTAAGGTCCTATATCTGGGTCCCTAAAGGACATAAAGAGCAATAGGGTGCATCCCGCGCCAGTTTAGGTCCTGGATCTGGGAAGTGGGAGGGGCCGGTGCCTGGGCTGCCTGAGGAGGCTGGGTAGCTGGCCACCTTGGGCAGGGATCCAAGGGTTGGCTTCCCTGTGGAGAGCAGGTTCCCAGATCCTTAAGAGGCTGGTGGGTCAGTGCTGGCTCCCAGAAAACAAGAAGACTGGAGAGCCTGAATTGAGATGGTTTCTCCAGGCAGATTAAGGACAGCCATTTGACCAGCTCTGGGGCCGCAATGGCAGTCAATTGGGCCCAGGTCCCCGGGGCATTCAGAGATTGGCGGTTCTCCATCAGAGCCCCAGAGGTCACACAGGTTTCTATTCTGCCTCCCCTACCTCAGGAAAACTCTGAAGATGATAAGAAGAGGGGACGTTCCACAGACAGTGAAGTCAGCCAGGTGGGTGTGAGCCTGGACCGGGTGGGCACGCCATTCACTCCTCTGTTGCTTCCCAAAGGCATCTTGAGGCCTGAGCGCCGGCCACTGTGCTGGGCTGGTGGACACAGGTGGCTCAGAAATCAGTGCTGCCCTGAGGGCAGGTGGGCAGGGCAAGTGGACAGGTGACTGGTGCTGTGGTCAAG
This sequence comes from Homo sapiens, assembly GCF_000001405.40. Lineage (NCBI taxonomy): Eukaryota > Metazoa > Chordata > Mammalia > Primates > Hominidae > Homo > Homo sapiens. The sequence continues at coordinate 121,689 of NW_003571055.2, forward strand.
GGGGTAGCACACAGGTCACCCTTGGCCTGGCCAGGCAGTCAGGAGATGCTGCTGTGGAGTGCCCTGGGCTTCACAGTCAGGTGAGTTTGCCTGGCAGGGAGAGGTGGCAGCCAGTAACATGGGCAAGTTGTGACAGAAAGTTTGGAAGTGAGGAGAGATGAGTCTGGCCAGGTCTGCAGGGCCAGGGCCCAACTGTGAGCACAGGGACTGGGACTGTCAGGCTGAGGGGCTCAGGCTTTGTGGACCTGAGTGGCCTCCAGAGTCCAATAAGCCTAGGAAGCGATGGGGCCTTTGCTGTGCTGATAATACACACTGCAAATTTCTGAGAGGAGACGGTGGCGGGCAGTGCTTCTTCAACTCCTTTAACATCTCCCAGGACAGGAGCACGCTTTCGGAAACGCTGCTACAGAACAATGTTAGGCAGGAGCAGCATGGGCCTGAGGCCCCTCTGTGGGCTAACGGGATGGATGGTTCCAAGGGGACACCCTGAGTGGGCATTGAGGAGGCTGGTGTGGAGACTAAGGGGACCCGCAGGTAGTAGTGAGGGCGGGCAACAGGGCCAGGAGGTGATGAGGAGAGACACTGAGGCAGGTACTCCAGGGGCCAGGCTGGGCTCTGCCACCTTCCCAGGCCCCCACTGCCAAGCAGCGATGCCCAGGAGAGAAGTGGGTAGTCAGTCCTGTTGGGCGCTTGGTAAGCGCAAGGTGCCTGTGGGGTGGCTGGAAAGAAGCCCAGGAGGTGGTTAGGCTCAGCAGCCGGAGTGCTGTCCACAGATTGCCTGCGGTAGGGATACCATGAGCACATTTACCCTCCCACCACTTTCTGGAGTGCTGGTAACTTCCAGCCCTGTGAGTAGCTTCTGTGACCCTTCAGGTGACATTCAGAATTACTATCCAATTTCCAGCTGTTTTTCCTTCTACTCTTGGACATTAGGCGGCTCCAGCTAATCTCATATTGAGAACACTTAAGTGTTTCCCACTAGTCCTCTGGCTTCCAACAGATGGATCTTCTCTGGCTGACAACCTAAGTTGTGTGTCAGATCCCTGTGGGGGTGTCCATGGGGCGGTGTCCAGGCAGGACTTGGGAAGCTGGGCAGGCTGGAAATCAGTGTGAGTGTTTTAAGCATGAAGGTGATTGAAGCCATGAGGGTGAGTAAGGTCACCCAGGTCCCCAAGAGGGCAGGAGCAGGTGGGGGCAGCGAGGCCAGAGAGGAGGCTGCTGGGACAAAGATGGAGCCTGAGGTGGGGGTGGTGAGGGAGACCAGCTGGCCCACTGGGTCCTGACCCTCTGCTCTCTCCCACCCGCAGTCTCCAGCCAAAAACGGCTCCAAGCCTGTCCACAGCAACCAGCACCCTCAGTCCCCAGCTGTGCCGCCCACCTACCCCTCCGGCCCCCCGCCTGCTGCCTCTGCCTTGAGCACCACTCCTGGCAACAATGGGGTCCCCGCCCCCGCAGCACCCCCAAGTGCCCTGGGCCCCAAGGCCAGTCCAGCTCCCAGCCACAACTCGGGCACCCCTGCTCCCTATGCCCAGGCTGTGGCCCCACCAGCTCCCAGTGGGCCCAGCACGACCCAGCCCCGGCCCCCCAGCGTCCAGCCTAGCGGAGGCGGAGGCGGCGGCAGCGGAGGTGGAGGGAGCAGCAGCAGTAGTAACAGCAGTGCCGGTGGAGGGGCTGGCAAGCAGAATGGCGCCACCAGTGAGTGAGGAGGCAGCGGGGTGGGGGGCGTGGGCGGGGCTGGGCAGCAGGCAGCAGCCCTTTCCATTTACTCTTTGTTCCCAGGTTACAGCTCAGTTGTGGCAGACAGCCCGGCAGAGGTGGCTTTGAGCAGCAGTGGGGGCAACAATGCCAGCAGCCAGGCCTTGGGCCCCCCTTCCGGCCCCCACAACCCACCTCCCAGCACCTCGTGAGTGTCTCGGCCATCGGCAGGGTTGGGATGGCAGCCTTTTGAAACAGAGAGGCGCAGGCGCCTCACCCCCGCATCGGTGGGTTCTGAACCCCCCGCCCTTGCTGCTGGGAATGGCCAAGCGCTATCCTCCATCTCCCTCGGGTGTTACACCCCCACTTCTTTCCAGCAAGGAAACTACATCAGCCTCCCTGCTTTGCCCTTCAGAACATTCTAAAATACGTTCTCATCTAAGTGGAAGTTTTCTCAAGAGCCCCATACCCTTTCCTCCCCATTTCTGTTACCTGCCTGAGGCCAATTGACTGCCACCGGAGGGTCACTGTTTCACTTTTCAAAGTGAATTGTCCCGAAGTCCTTATTCCTCTGCAGCCACTCCTTCAAATCTTAGCTCAGACCATTCCACTGGGTCTGCCTGTTTCCCGAAGAATGCCCTAAGAAAGATCAGTGTGCACAAAGGAAAGGCCTGCTTCCTGCCCCCTCACCCCAGCTCCAGCTGGCCTGCCCAAGGGGGAGTGGGCCCTGTGAACACCTGCCCAGGGCAAGTGGTTTTGATCAGCCTGTGGCCTGGTGGAGCACCCGAGAATCCTCACCCCCACCCCCACAGCTCTGCTCTGCTGATGAGAAACCATTCCAAAGATTGGGCTCTGCCTTTGTTTGCCCAGAGAACCACTTCTTTCTCCCATCTGTCTGCCCTCACCTGCCCCTCTCAGATCCCATCTGATCTGTGCAGTCTCCCCTCTCTCCAGCCAGGCCTCTCTGCCCATCCCACCCTCAGGGACCCTCCTCTCAACCCCCTCTTCCATGCTCTCTCTCCAGGAAGGAACCCAGTGCGGCAGCCCCAACGGGGGCTGGGGGCGTGGCCCCAGGCTCAGGGAACAACTCAGGGGGACCCAGCCTCCTGGTGCCACTGCCTGTGAATCCTCCCAGCTCCCCAACGCCCAGCTTCAGTGATGCCAAGGCAGCCGGTGCCCTGCTCAATGGGCCTCCACAGTTCAGCACCGCCCCAGAAATCAAGGTGGGCTCCTCGGACATCCCCCGAGCCTCTGTGTCCTGACTCTGTTGTTTCTTTCCTCCAGGTCTCTAGCTGCACCCCCTGCCCCCACCCTCTTTCTGGATCTCTTTCTCTGGCTTTCTGTCCCCTTCTCACACTTGCTCTTTCTCCAGGTCTTTCTGTACCACCCTCCCCGTGACCTTGATCTCTGGGGGCTCTCATACCTCCTCTCTTGTTCCCTCCAAAGCTCTGTTTCTCTGGGTCTCTTTTCCTTTCTCTTGGTTGCACTTGTTGCTTGCTCTCTCTGGGTCTCCATCTTCATCCCCCCCGCAGGCCCTCAGTTTCTGTCCCCGTTTGTCCTCACAAGGCATAGACTGGTGTACTTTCTGCACAAGTAGAAAGACTGGTTGGGTGAATGCAGCCTGGTTCCACCCTTTAGGAAGCTTCCCTGCTGGGGCAGCTGCAGGGAAGGTTGCGGTGGGCCCACCGAGGGGCATCTGACCTGACCTGGGAGACAGGCCCAGGAAGGTCTGAGAGGGGGTGATGTTTAAGCTGAGACCTGGACCAGGCAGGGGGGCTAACAGCTGCAGGAAGGGCTTCAGGAGGTGCTTTAGGAGGAGCATGCATCTGCCTGTGTGCTTAGGAAGCTGGGCAGGATGCAGCAGAGAGGAGAGAGGTGTCCACTCTGCAGGAGACAGTGCCACCAGCTGCAGGGCTGAGATAGTGGGTGTAGCAGGATAGGACGGTGGGGTCCTGATCATCGAGGGTCAGGAGCTGGGGCTTGGCTTGTGAGCCAGTATACTGTAGCGCAGCTTCCATGGGGGGACCAGTGTGTATGCCCAGGCTGTCCAGGAGGCAGTGTGCGCGCCCAGGCTGTCCAGGAGGCAGTGTGCGCGCCCAGGCTGTCCAGGTCCAAGTCTTGGCATTGTCCTTTCTGTGCCTTCATCTGGGAAACGGCAATAGTCACGATTATACCTACTATGTAGGGTTATTTGGAAGACTAAATCATCCTCATAAAGCTCTTGGAACAGTTTCTGGCCCAACAGAAGCATTAATTTTTTTTTTTTTTCTTTTTTGAGACAGAGTCTTGCTCTGTCACCCAGGCTGGAGTGCAGTGGTGCAATCTCAGCTGAATGCAACATCCGCCTCCTGGGTTCAAGCGATTCTCCTGCCGCAGCCTACTGAGTAGCTGGGATTACAGGCGCCTGCCACCACGCCAGGCTAATTTTTATATTTTTAATAGAGATGGGGTTTTGCCATGTTGGTCAGGCAGGTCTTGAACTCCGAACCTCAGGTGATCCACCCACCTCGACCTCCCAAAGTGCTGGGATTACAGGTGTGAGCCACCGTGCCCGGCCCAAATTTTAGAAGTAGGTGGACAGGATATTTATAGTGCGTGCATTTTTCTGGAAAAAGGGAAACAGCAGCTTTGAGATTTTCAGAAGGGGTCCATATCTTTTAACACCACCAACAACAAAAATGAATCGCTGGGGTGGGTGGTCGGGAACCATGGCAAGGTTTGGAGTAGAGAAGGAACAACATGACTTCATTGGAAAGGTCCCCTGGGGCTGGTGAGGACAGGATAGAGGGAGGGTGGTCTGGGCAGGAGAGGACAGGCCTGGGCTGTGTGGGACATGGTGGCACGACAGGGAAGGGAGCCATCCAGTGGGGTTTAGAAGCAGGACGGATAGCTGGGCGTGGTGGCTCACACCTGTAATCCCAGCTCTTAGGGAGGCAGAGGCGGGAGGATAGCTTGAGCCCAGGAGTTTGAGACCTGCCTGGGCGATATAGCGAGACAGAATGGATAAGCCTTGGCGACTGACTCGTTGTGGAGAGTCCAGCACAGGGCTGGGGTTTGGGACAGCTGCACGTGGCTGGAGGAGATGGGAGGAACCAGCCCTGACTTTGGGGAACAGAAGCCTGCTGTAACCTTTGTAATAGGAAACGAGGCTGTGGCTGCGGGGCTGGAGACCCAACCTACCTGTTTCCAGCAAGGAGACTGAAGCCTAGCCGGGCTGGGCCCACCCCGATTCCAGTCACCCCATGCCAGTCACAGGCAGACAGCTGAGCATGTAGACCTCCTGCCTCCTTCAAGACAGGCGGGAGCTCTCCCAGCGTGTAGGTGTCCCTAGTGAAGGAGCGTGTACTATTGGCACATCCTTTGACAAAAATGGTAGCGCACTGTACATATTCTGCAGGTTGGCGTTTACTTCTGTAGTATGTCACGAACTTGTATTTTGAAAATCTCGGCGTAGTATTCCATGCTGCAGAGTCCCACTCACGAGACGTTCCTCTGCTGATGAATGCGTCGTGGTCTCCGATTGTTTCCCTACAGTTTGATGCTTTTACCTGTCATGGGTAGATTGTGGGGAGTGGGTCGTTGGCCCTCCACGGCCCCCAAACAGGGCAGGTGAGAGCATCTGGGGCCTGTGTCAGGCTGCACTTGCTCCTGCAGCCCAAGTGCTCAGGCCAGGCCTCTTGTTTCCTCCCCAGGCCCCTGAGCCTCTGAGCTCCTTGAAGTCCATGGCGGAACGGGCAGCCATCAGCTCTGGCATTGAGGACCCTGTGCCAACGCTGCACCTGACCGAGCGAGGTGAGGGACCCAGGATGGTGGGGAAGCAGCGGGCCAAAGAGGAGGGGCTGCCCCTGACCCATCCTCACCACTGAGGGGGCCGGACCCCCACCCTCCCCACAGACATCATCCTGAGCAGTACATCAGCACCTCCGGCCTCAGCCCAGCCGCCCCTGCAGCTGTCAGAGGTGAACATACCGCTGTCGCTGGGTGTCTGTCCACTGGGCCCTGTGCCCCTCACCAAGGAGCAGCTCTATCAGCAGGCCATGGAAGAGGCCGCCTGGCACCACATGCCTCACCCCTCTGACTCTGAGCGTATTCGGTGAGGGGCCACAGGGAAGGGGGATGGTCTGGGACTTGAGTCTTACGGAGGAGGCAGTGGCTGAACCTGTGAGGCTGTGGGTAGAGCACCAGGCCCCTGACTTGGGCTCTCCACTGAAGGTCAGCACCGCCCTGGGTCTTTCTGTACCACCTCCCCCCGCAGGGATGCATGTCTGAGCACCCTTTTGATCACGACAGGACTAGTAGGCAGCTGGCACTGACCTTCCTGTTGCTCTCACAGGCAGTACCTCCCCCGGAACCCCTGTCCGACGCCCCCCTACCACCACCAGATGCCACCCCCACACTCGGACACTGTGGAATTCTACCAGCGCCTGTCGACCGAGACACTCTTCTTCATCTTCTACTATCTGGAGGTACAGCAGGGCCCCCGGGGCAGCCTCGGGCCCCCCGGCTTCGCCGCCACCGCCGCCGTCCCCCCTCGGGCTGGAGGGGTGAGGTGGGTGCCCCACTGCGGCCACTGGGACCGCACCCCCTCCCTATTCCCACTCCTGGGCCCCTGCCCCAAATCCACCTGTCCCCGTCCCCGCCTTCCAGCCCAGAGATGTTAGAACTGCTTGGGTTGACAGCGAGGCTGGTCCACTGAGGCACACCTCAGCCCCGCTTCCAGTTGCCCACTGGCTCACCCGCGGCCCCTCCCCAGCCCTGCTCCAGCAGCCCCAGTCTAGGCCGACCCCACTCTGCTCATCGGCACATTCTCAGGCCTCCCTGGAGACCACTGGGGAGCTGTCCAGCCCCCTCCCAACCCCAGTGAGTCATGAGTGACCTCCACCCTCATCCCCACTTGGGAAATTTTCTAAATTGCCTCCTCTCTCAGCTCTCATCACACATTAGTTTTTCTTCCTTCTCAAAGCTTCTCTGAAAGCAATTTTCACCTCCTGTCTCATTTTCCTTCTCCTGATCAGCATTGGTATGTTCTGTGCCCCCAGCCCCATCTCCAAGAGGATTGTCCAGCCCAACTGTGGTCTGTGGCGGGGGCCGGGGTTCAGCCCTGATGTCCTGCCCCATTCCCCTGGCTCCCCACCCAGTTTGGGGGCCCCCTGATCCCCCTCTCCACTGTTCCTCCCCCAGGGCACTAAGGCACAGTATCTGGCAGCCAAGGCCCTAAAGAAGCAGTCATGGCGATTCCACACCAAGTACATGATGTGGTTCCAGAGGCACGAGGAGCCCAAGACCATCACTGACGAGTTTGAGCAGGTGAGGGCCCCGCCCCCTCTCTTCCCGCTGCTAGGGTTGGGGTAGAGTCCCCAGGCTCCAGGCAGCCCCTGCTGGCCTCTGCTCCCTTGCCTCCACCTTTCAGCTGGCGCAGTCCCTCAGCCTGACCAAGTACTCCTCCCTCTGGCTGTCTGCTCAGCCTGGAACACCGCCCTCTCATCCTCCACTTGGCCAGCTCCTAGGCCTCCTGTAGGTCTCAGCCCAAATGTCCCTTCCTCAAAGAAACCTTCCTGGAGCCACCCAGCCCAGTGCCTCCCCTTTGCAGTGCTGGGCACACTCGCTTGGGGTGTGGGATTTTCCCAGTATGTGTCCCTGCACCAGGCTGTGGGCTCTGCTGCCGAGGGACCTTGATGGCCCCCACTTCACCTCCAGGTCCCAGCACTCAGCAGGGCAGGGGCTCAGTGCCGAAACTATTTTTTTTGAATGGGCTTCTCAAGTTCTAATACTGGGAAATTCCTGCTGCTTGCAAACACTCTGGAACCAACCTACCTGGGTTTCAGCCCAGTCCAGCTGGGCGACTCTAGGCAAGTCACTCGAACCTCTGTGTCTCAATTAACTTATCTGTAAAAATGGGGGGAAGACCACCTACCTAATGCAGTTGTTATGAAGATTAAATGAGTTAATAACATGTAAGTACTTAATGGTGACTGCTACATAGTCAGTGTCATGGATTTTTTTTTTCAAATTACTTTCAGTTGGTGTGTTCTACAGTGATGTTTTTTTCCACCAAATACTTCCCTGATGCCGAGCCCCTTCATGGGGATGAAGTAGTACAAGGTCCTTGTCCTCAGAGAACTCAGTCCCCTCTCCTGGTTCTCCCAGGTTGCCATCTTTGAAGCACTTAAGACATTCATTTAGAACCTAGGTCCTCTCCCATTGTGTCCTCAGATGTTAACCACAGACTTCCTGTCCTTTCCTGGTTTGGCCCAAAACCATCCTCCAAGTTAGTACATTTCAGGGCATCCAGTCATTCAGAAATTCCCACACCACTTCCGTCACCAATAAAATGTCCCTGCAGAGTGCTTGGATTTAGACTCTGAGACTGTTCCATTCTCTAGAACAAGGGTGACAGTACCCACTGCCTCGAGGTCTTTGTGAAGATTAAATGCTAGGCTGTGCATCCTGTACTCACGTGAGAGGTGCTCAAAAGCCACAGCCCTCGAGGAAACGAAGGCTGTGCACTCACACCTGGGGCTGGGGCCCCGTTCTGGCAGCTGGCTTCGGTGGAACCTCTGCGGCCCCCTCCGTTTCCTCCTCGCTGAAGTGGCATGATAACATTTCCTACCCAAGAAGAACCTTGTGAGGATGGATGAGAGTGTGTGCGTGCAGGGCAGCTGGCCCGGTGCCTGACACATCCACAGCCCTAAGAATTGTCCCCTTTGTCTGTTGGTCCGGCCCAGATCCCAGACCACCTCCTCGTCCACTCACTGACCGCCTTCTCCCCCGGCCAGGGCACCTACATCTACTTTGACTACGAGAAGTGGGGCCAGCGGAAGAAGGAAGGCTTCACCTTTGAGTACCGCTACCTGGAGGACCGGGACCTCCAGTGACACCGGCCCCTCCCTCTACCCACCCCCTTCCCCCGCATGCTGATCCCCCTGCCCAGGTGAGGGCCCTGCCCTGGAAGACTGGAGGGAGGCCCCAAGCCACGGGGCATCCCCCTCTCCCAGGAAGCAGGGAGGGGGCCGGGAGGTTTTCCTCTCAGCCCCACCCTGGGGGCCCGGGGGCGAGGGCTGCCCCCTCCTCCCCTCCCCAGTGAGGGACATTTTTTGGTAAACCTATTTTCATTTTGGAAAATATTTATGAATAAATAGTTTTATATGACGGCTGGCAGCAGCGGCCTCTCCTGTACCCCCTCAGGAGTCAGTGAGTAAGGTGAGGGTCCTGCTGGCGGGGGCGCCGGGCCAGCTGGGGGTTGAATTGGGAGTTGTACCGCCGCCGCCGGTCATCCGTCTCGTCTTCTTCCGGCTGACCCTCCTGTAGTGCCCGGCCTTGGACCCGGGCCAGCAGGGCCTCTGCCCGAGACCTCTCAGCTGCTTCCCTCCGCAGACGTTCAGCTCGAAGCTGGTCCAGGGATGGAGGCCTGTGGGGAGAGGAGTGAGGTCAGAAAGCTGGTAGCCCCTAGGAGGCCATTCCCCCAACCTCTCCCATAGAGGGAGCTGCCGCCTGGAAGCCCCGCTGCATCCAGCACACCCCAGCCTCAGCTCCTTAGGCCTGCTGGAAGCAGCCACTTGGTGCTGGGACGCCATGGGCACGTCTCTGGCCTTCCCTTCTGTGGGCTTTGGTCCTCCCCAGTCTTTAAAATCTGATGCTTCTCCAGGTCAAGAAAGCACACTTAGCAGCCCCCTGGCCCTCAGTTTCCCTTTCTAGAGGAAAGAAGACTACAGGCAGTGTACCCCCTCTAGACCAGGGGTGCAGCATCCTGGAGACAGAAGCCTGCTTTTACTCTCTAACCCAGCAGCTCTCAAACTCTTTGGTCTCAGGACCCCTTTATACTCTTAAAAACCAAGGACCCCAAGAGCTTTTGTTTAAATGGGTTCTCTTAATATGCTGCAAATCATTAGTGAAAACTAAGAAAGTTTGGACACAAGCATCTGCCATTGGCCATCAGAGTGAGGGTGTCTCCCCATCACACAGCCTCTGGAAACCTGCACTACATGCCTGAGAACACGAGTGGAAAAGTCCACCAGTGTCAGGAAAATAGGCTTGACACCACAGCACCCCGGGAAAGGGTGTCAGGACCCCTAGGGCTCCCTGGACCACATGCTGAGAACCACTTCTCCACCTAGCCAGCCCTTCACGGAGTCCCTGGCTGTCCTGACCAGAGACGCTGCAGTGCCCATGCTGGGCTGCTGCCAAGCCCTGAAGGTCTGGGCCCTGGTCTGCCGAGGTGGGGTCTTCTTACTCCTTGGGTCGCTGCTTCTCAGACCCCTCCTTTTCCTTTCTGCTGCGACTGCCTTCATCACCGCCGTGCTGTCTCTTCTTCCCCAGATGCTTCTGCATCTCCCGCAGAGGGTCCAGACGGCTCTTGATCTTCTCATCTGGGGCTGGGCCGGGCGGGGGGCCCCCTCGCCCTGGGGGTAGCTGGTACCAAGGGGGTTGAGTCTGTGCCTCCGCTGCACTCTGGCCCAGGTATGTCAGGATGCCCAGAGCTTTCTCTTGCCTCTCCTGAGGGGGCCAGGAAATACAAGAGATGTGATATAATCTTTCAAGGTGTCAGGTGTGTCTCCCTGACACAGGTATCTAAGCGAACAGGTATCTAAGGCTTGTTATGAACCAGTTGGACCAGGTGCTGGGGATGGAAGACAAACAGAGGCAAAGCTCCCCCTGGGGGGACAGTAGCAGGTACAGTAACAGCAGGGGAAGGAGGGGACAAGTGGAGCCACTTGAGTGTTCAGAGGCAGGCATCTTTGCAGAGAGACTTGAAGAGAAGCCTGAAGGGATCAAGCAAAGCAGAGGAGCGATGGGTGGGGTCAGCAAGTCCAGAGACAGCAGATAAATGACAAGAGCTGATGTACCTCTTTTTTTTGAGATGGAGTCTCGCTCTGTTGCCCAGACTCGAGTGCAGTGGCACGATCTCGGCTCACTGCAACCTCTGCTTCCCAGGTTCAAGCAATCCTCCTACCTCAGCCCCCCGAGTAGCTGGGATTACAGGCACACACCACCATGCCCAGCTAATTTTTGTATTTTTAGTAGAGACGGGGTTTTGCCATGTTTGGCCAGGCTGGTCTTGAACTTCTGACCTCAGGTGATCCACCCACGTTGGCCTCCCAAAGTGCTGGGATTACAGGCGTGAGCCACCATGCACAGCCACTGATGTACCTTTTACACTTGATCTTAGCCAAAAAGCAAGAGGCGATTGATTCACTTTTTGTTTGATTGTTTTGAGATGGGGTCTCGCTCTGTCACCCAGGCTGGAGTGCAGTGGCGCAATCTCGGCTTACTGCAGCTTCCACCTCCTGGGTCAAGCGATTCTCCTGCTTCAGCTTCCCTGGGATTACAGGCGCGCACCACCATGCCCGGCTAATTTTTTTTGTATTTTTAGAGATACCATGTTGACCAGGCTGGTCTTGAACTCCTGACCTCAGGTGATCCACCCGCCTCAGCCTCCCAAGGTGGTGGGATTACAGGCGTGAGCCACAGCCGGCTGATTTAAATTTTTAAAAGCCCATCAGGTTTGAGACTCCTCCAGTTTGGAGAACTGAGCGGTTTGCCCAGCAGCTGGGGACCTCTAGCATCTACCTCCAACCCCTGTGGGCGCCCAGACGGCAATAGCCAACGCTTTTTGAGTGTCATGCCTTGGTATGGTCCTAAATTCTGTGTGTTCACTCTTGTTTGACCTTGGTCACAACCAATGGCTAAAGTGCCCCCTCCCTCCAACTCGATTCATGGCCCCTCTGATGAAGTGGGTGAGGCCAGCTTACTTTCTCCTGTCGCTTTTCTTCCTCGTACTCTTTATTGCCTCTGATCACTCCTTTCCCTTCCTCCAGCAGCTCCCGAAACAGGTCCACAGGGCCAGAACCTGGGGCTCCCGCCTCTGCTGCTTCAAGCTCAGGCAGTGAGTTCTGATGTCTGGCTTTCTTCCGTAGGAATTCTGTACGGGCCTGGGGAGAAAGTTATAGGCAGGACATTCAGAACCTAGAGGTAATTCAAGAACTGTGAGTCTGGTGCCCACCACAGAAAATGGCAGTCCAGGGTGCTGGGGTTATGAGAAAGGGAGCACTAGGCGCCTAAAAGAGGCACCTGTCCTAGCTGGGGGTGAGGGTAGGCAGATGAGGCAACGCCTGGGTTTTGTAAACTCCCTTTCAAATAGTAAACCACGGGTCATCAAGGATGTATGGGAGGAGGTCCCTGGCCTAAACCAAAGGGGTTCCTAACCTCAAGTGAGACAATTAAAACAGCCATAAAGGTATGCATTAGGCCAGACGATCTGAATTCTAGCCATGGCTCCAAGTGACTACCCCAAGTCTGCTGAAGCCCTGTCCCCTGCCTTCAGGACGCGGATTTCAAACAGCGCTCAGCAGCCTACTGAGATTCTAAAAACCTAGACTACCTCCCACCCACGGCGGAGGATCAGACTAGCTAAGGAAATGAAAGTTGGGTGTACACCAAACAGATTTAAAGAGCCATACGGAAAGCCCGTGTTTGTGTGTATGTGTCTAGGGGGCGGTGCACGAAAGGGCTCGCCCGATGGCGTGGAGCCTGGCTGTCCGCCTCTCCTTAAAATGTGCCTTCCCCTCACTGAAGCCATCTCACTTCGTGCAACAGAGATGACAGTGCCCCTCTAAGAACGAACAGTGCTTATTGGGGATTCCGCAAGTCAGGTGCACGGCATGTAGTTAGCATACAGTAGATGCTCAATAAATAGGCTGTGCAGGCAAACTAAAAAGTGATCCGAATTTCCTTGAACTGTCCAAGGGTTCACGGATTCATTAAATGTTAAGCTTCTCTTTTGTGCTAGACACTGTTCCAGCCATGTGAAATACATCAGTGGGGGAAAAACTAAGACGAGGGCGAGATCAAGGAAGGTTTCGTGGAAGTGGGCACAAGGTTTGCGGGGCAACGTCCTCGAAAGTGGGATCGGCGCCTGGTCCCGAATTTCACACGGGGCACATTGAGCCTGCGCAACGCCTCCGCTTCCGGCCCCCAACCGCGGCGCCTGCGCGCTGGGCCCCGGAGCGCCGCCCTGCCGGCTTCCGAGCTTACCTCTTGCTGAGCCAGCAGCACCCTCCGCTCACGCTCCTTCTCCTCCTCCCGGGCCTGGGCCTCGTCACGCCGCACGCGGGCGACATTGTCCTTGTTCCGGACGTGCCAGCTCTTCTTGGGCAAGATATTCATGGCGTCGTAGCTGTCCAGGGACTGGCACGCCCGCCTCTTTGCACTTCCGATTGGCGAGAGGATGCCCCCCTTTTTCTTGTCCCTACTTCGACCGCGGATTGGTTCCGAATTAGTTGGTACGGCCCCCTGGCCTGTAGCGACAGGTGATTGGCTGAGACGCCCTTTATCACAGCGAATGCTAGGCGTTCGGCTCGTGGTATCCCCTAGCAACCGCCTCTTGTCACAGATCTGAACCAATCATAAGTTGGCCCGCCCCTGATGCTACCAGATGCGGCCGTCGATTGGCCGACATGACCGACAAGTCTCCTTGCGGAAGAGCGCTCTGCACCGACAAACATGCCCGTACATTTGATTGGCTCCTGCCCCGCTGTAGCCCTGCCCCCACCTTCAGGACGCAGATTTCAAAGCGCGCTCAGCAACCTCGGCTGTATTTATTGATACAAGGAAGATCACCCGAGAGTCAGGGACGTGGCGGCGAGGGGCCCTGGAAATCTCCAGATACCAAAGCTGGAAGGGCGTGGAGTCTTCTCCAGTTCTCCTAGTTTACAGATGTTGTGACCTAGGCTTACAATGGGCCTGGGGTCTGAAAGCGGGACGTGGGCTGCGGGGGTCAAAGAGCCGGTTTGGTGGAGGTCAGCGCCACAGCGCGCCGTGCCAGGAAGACTTTATTCTGCGCCTCCTGGGGCAAAGAGAGGTGGAGGTGAGACAATCCTCTTCCCCAACCCCTTTCCATGTTCCCCAGGGGCCCTCTCAGGGACCCGCCTGGCTCACCGTCTGTCTCTGACGTTTGAGCTCAGAGATGAGGCGTCCGTAGGAGTTAGCCAGAGCCACAGTGTACGCCATCAGGATGCTGAAGGAGACAGGAACGGAAGCCACTCCTGACACGCTCTTCCATTATATCCAAACGTCTGGCTCCTTCGAAGCCAGGGATGTGGACGCCTAAGCCCCTCCTCGTCTGGGCTCAAGGAGTTCAGTCTCCCAGCCCCTCCGCCTTCAGATCCAGGAGTCCTACGTCCCGCCCACCTCCTCCTTCGGACCCAGCAGTCCAGGAGCCTAGGCCTCCTCCCTCAGACTCAGTACGTTGCCTGCTCCCACGCCCAAGCCTCTCCTCTCTTGGACGCAGGTGGTGGCCCCCAGATCACACGCATTCAAACCCAGACCCAGAAGTCTGGGCCGTCTCACCTGGAGATCAGCAGAAGGGGCACAGCAAAAGCCTGGGTCCCCAGGAAGAAGAGGAAATTCTGGGTGGTCTCAGGGAGGCTGGAAATAGACTCAGGGATCTGGGCCCAGATGGACGACTGCCCCCGGAATGGACCACAAAGCTTAGAAGGCGGGATCCTGAAGTCAAGACAGGCTGGGCTCACATAGTGCCAGGAGTCTGAACACTGAATGGGGAGAGAGGGAGGGAGAGAGGCGGGAGCCTCTCGCACTTACAGGAAGATGCTGTAAAGCAGGGGAACGCTGGAGATGGCCAGACCCAGGAGAAGGACCAAGGGGAAAAAGAAATTCGCCGCGGAGGCCCGGAAGGTGCGGGCAGCCGGGGAGCAGGTGGAGAAGAGGGTAAGCTGGTGGGGGAAGGCACGGAGAAAAGGGCTCTGAAACACAAGAGTCTGTGCCTCCATTTTTTTTTTTTTTTTTTTTGAGACAGAGTCTCGCTCTGTCGCCCAGGCTTTTTTTTTTGAGACAGAGTCTCGCTCTGTCGCCCAGGCTGGAGTGCAGTGGCTCTCACTGCAGCCTCCCCTCCCGGGTTCAAGCTATTCTCGTGTCTCAGCCTCCCGAGTAGCTGGGATTACAGGTGTGCACCACCACTCCCGGCTAATTTGTTTTGCTGTTGTTGTTGTTTGTTTGTTTTCTCTTTTTGAGACGGAGTCTCGCTCTGTCGCCCAGGCTGGAGTGCAGTGGCACGATCTTGGCTCACTTCGACCTTCACCTCCCTGGTTCAAGCAATTCCCCTGCCTCAGCCTCCTGAGTAGCTGGGATTACAGGCGCCTGCCACTAAGCCCGGCTAATTTTTTTTGTATTTTTAGTAGAGACGGGGTTTTGCCATGTTAGCCAGGCTGGTCTCAAACTCCTGACCTCAGGTGATCCACCCGCCTTAGTCTCCCGAAGTGCTGGGATTACAGGCGTGAGCCACTGCACCCGGCCTACCTGCCTCTCCTTTTTTCCGAACCAGGAGTCTGAGCCCCTTCCTCATCTAGGACCCCGGAGTCTGAGTCCCCAGATCCTCAGACATATAAGTCAGAATGCCCTAGACCCCTCCTCTCAGATGCAGTAGTCTGTCCTCCAACCCCCTCCTCTCTCAGGACCGAGTAATCCAGGCCCCCAGGATCTTCCTTGCCCTTGACCCAGGAGTGCGGGCCCCAATACCTCCTGCCTCAGACCCAAGGGTCCCCCCTACCCCTTACCTTCTTCAGGTAGAAAAGCAGCAGGAACTTGACCGTGTTAAGCAGGGGCAGTAAAGGGCAGAAAAAACTCCCCACCCAGACCACCGTCTGCGCGTAGATGAGCCCCAGCACCTCGTCGGGCACCTGGAACTCCTGGGTCCCCGCCAGACGACCCAGCGCCCCAGGACAGAGGCCACAGAGGAGCCTGAAGGACGGGGCGGGGCCGGGCCGGAGTCAGGGGAGTGGCGGCCTGGAGTTTCCCCGCCTCCACCGCCCCGCCCGCCAATAGGAAGCATGCGTATTGGTTGGGGGGGGGGGGGCGGGACTTTCAGGACTCCACGTGGAGGGGGTGTGTCCAGAGGGCGGGTCCTGAGGACTAGAAGGGACCCAGATGTCGCCGCCGTCGGGGCCAGAGGGAAGTAACCCACTAAAACAAGGGCGGGGAGCGGGGAGATCTGCGGACCTAGGGCAAGCAAAGGGAGCAGGCAGAGGCGGGAATGGTAAAAAGGTGCGCGGTGAAAAGAACAGCGCGATGGGGCACGGCCTCGTCCTAGAGGGGCGGGGCCACAGCAAGGGGCGGGGCTCTCACTTTCTAGGAAACTGGATGAGCAGCGCGACTGCCAAGACAGTCAGCAGATCAAAGAGCAGAAGTTTGTACATTTCCTGGCCCAGGACAGTCTCCCAGCACTGAAGAAGGAAGAAATATATCAGAAAGAACTCGGGACCCGGGCACCTGGAGGCCCACGCGTCCGAGTCTCCACATCGCAAGCCTATGAGACCCTGTCAATACTTTCTCTGGGGGTCCTCGTTTTTCAAACTTTCATACCCTTGGGAGAGTGTTCCAGCACCCCAAGCTCCCCTCTCCGCCCAAACCAAGAGTCTGGACCCACCCAGCTCCATCTTTCCTTCAGGGACCCAAGAGTCCCACGCACACCCATGCCGTTCTCACCGGAAGTTGTTTGTAATTGTAGCCACAGGTTTTGCAGTCCTCAGCCTCGGAGTCGCCCCCACAAGTGATCTGATTCCAGAGAGAGAAGAGCAGGACCACCAGGGAGGCGAGGCGAAGAAACACGGTCCTGAAGGGGGGAAGGCAGAGAATGGGCCCTGACCCGGTACCCACCATGTGGCAGTTCCCTTCTCAGTGGAACGCGCCCGCATTCAACCCATCTCACAGATGAAGCTGAGGCCCAGTGACAGAATCAGGATTTCTTTCTTTCTTTCTTTCTTTTTTTTTTTTTTTTTTTGAGACAGGGTCTCACTCTGTCACCCGGACTGGAGTGCAGTGGCGCGATCTCAGCTCACTGCAACCTCCACCTCCCAGGCTCGAGCCATTCTCCTGCCTCAGCCTCCCGAGTAGCTGGGACTACAGAAGCCACTACCGCCGGGCTAATATTCGTATTTTTACTACAGACGGGGTTTCATCATGTTTGTCAGGCTGGTCTCGAACTCCTGACCTCAGCCTCGGCCTCCCAAAGTGCTGGGATTACAGGTGTGAGCCACTGCACCTGGCCAACAGAGTCAGGATTTGAATCCCTGGATTCGGTATCAGCAGGATTTCCGTGTCTTACCTGTCAGCGCCAACATCCCTCTGACCGCCCCCACCCTTCATCATTCCCAGCCATCCCCGTGAGGCTGGAACCTGAGCAGGATAAAAACGATCTGGCGACTCCGAGTGTAGCCCTCCAGTGGAGCAATGAGCTTGAACACGGGCGGCAGCACAAAATTGACCCCAGCGATGAAGATGGACGGAAGGTAATTCACCCCAAGCTTCAGCAGTGGCAACTCCTGGACAAGGGGCATCTCCTGGGAGCGGGATGGACCATGAGTAGAGGCTTGGGGTCCTGGAGGAGCCAAGCTTAAGGTCCTCCCCCCGGCCTCTTCTTCTTCTTCTTCTTTTTTTTTTTTTTTTTGAGACAGAGTCTCGCTCTGTTGCCCAGCCTAGAATGCAGCGGTGCGATCTCGGCTCGCTGCAACCTCTGCCTCCCGGGTTCAAGTGATTCTCCTGCCTCAGCCTCCTGAGTAGCTGGGATTACAGGCGCCCACCACCACGCCCGTCTAATTTTTGTATTTTTAGTAGAGACTGTTTTTCACCATGTTGGTCAGGCTGGTCTGGAACTCCTGACATCGTGATCCGCCCGCCTCAGCCTCCCAAAGTGCTGGGATTACAGGTGTAAGCCACCGCGCCCAGCCTCTCTTTTTCCTTTAAAATCCCTAAGTCCAGGGTCCGAACATACCCTCTCCCATACTTCCTCTCTAAGATCTCTGGCATCCCAAACTTCCGTCCCCTCCCTCCACCGTTGGAAATGTAGGTTCCAGGACCCCCTGGCTTCCTCTTCCAAGACCGTCCGCACCTGCAGCTCCACGGTGCACCCCGTAGCCCAGTAGACGCCATAGAAGGCTGCCCCCAGGAGCGCGACCACCAGCAGGTTGAGCAGCACCCGCACCAACCAAACCCTGGCTTGCTGGCCCAGCGTCCGCACCGCAGCCTGGCGCCGCACCACTGTCTCCTCCAGCTCCACCTGAAGGCAGGAGAGATGCCCGCTTGGACTCCATTTCCCAAGGCGCGGGCCTCCCGGTTCCCCAGGTCTGGCTCTCCAGAGATCCTCCTTAACGTGAACTGATGCAGCCGTCTCCCCACCCGCTAACAACCTCTGCAGTCCTGGTTCCACCCGCTCCAGGAAACCAGCGGCCCTTTACAGCCCCGCCCCTTCGCGGCCGGATCCAGCAACCCAAGCCCCCATCCCTCCGCGGTCAATCTCAGCACCCCAGGCCCCGCCCCTGAGGCTCCGCCCAGCATCCCAAGACCCGCCCCTGGTCAGCCCTGCCCATCAGAGGCTCCGCCCCCAGGTGGCCCTGCGCTTTATTCCTGGCCTGAAGTTCCAGTTCAGCTGTATCAAGACGCCCTGCTGGCCGCTCCCATCACTTAACTTTGAACCAAATTGCCTTAGGCCCCGCCCGCTTCTTGTGCTTACTTAAAAAAAAACAAACTTTTTTTTTTTTTTTTTGGTAGAGAGGGAGCCTCCCTATGTTGCCCAGGCTGGTCTCGAACTCCTAGACTGAAGCGATCCACCTGTCTCGGTCTCCCAAAGTGCTGGGGTTACAAGCATTAGCCACCGATCCCAGCCCTGGCGCATCCTTTTCCTACACGCTTGGAGCTCGGGCAGCCCTATCTCGGCCTCCTCTCAACCTTCTCATTCCCCAGGACCTGCCTTTCTTGGAGAAGGAGCTGCTTAGCATCTCTCCGGAGGCCCCATCACCGAGTTAGGCCCTGTGCGTTATCTCAGCCCGGTCCTGTCTGGTCCCTACCCAGTTGCAGACCCCGCTCCCTAATCGCACCTTTAATTCGTACAAGATGATGCGCTGGCGCAGCCGCACGTGGACGTCCCCGCAGAGACCGAAGTCCCAGGCCGAGAACACCCGGTGGCTGTAGCTGGTCAGAGCCTCGGACTCCGCCAGCAGTGTCTGCTTCAGCCCAGACACCGAGCTGAGAGGGGAGACCCGGGAGACGGGAAGTGAAAGGACAGCCAGGAACGGGGGTTATGGGGAGACCCCTCATATTGGGACAAATGGGGAAGATGAACCCTAAGGCCTTGGGTACTAGGCGAGTTCCCACCAGACCAGATGGGGAAAGAGTCAAAGAGGCGGAGACACAGTCATTGAAGGCAAAGTCCAAGGGAGATTCAGAGACAGTTCTGGGGTGCAGGCACCCCAAAGAGAGGCAGAAACCTAGGAGACAGGGACAGAGCCTCGGAGCGAAGGGGGCAGAAACCCAGAGTGAGAGAAACAGAGGCCCTGAGGAAGACAGAGATGTGGAGGAGGGACAGAGGCCCCAGAGGGAGATTCGGAGAAAGGGAGAAAAAGACAGTGAGAAAGGGGAAACTACATCTACAAAAGATGGGGGTCAAAGACCCATAAGAAGTACAGGCACACAGAGAAGGGAGCTGCGGCGGGAAGAGCCGAGAAGAAGACAGAGACCCAGAGAAGATGGCAGGTAAAGACTCAAGAGAGGGGGCAGGCCAGGCGCCATGGCTCACGCCTGTAATCCCAGCACTTTGGGAGGCCGAGGGGGGAGGATCACCTGAGGTCAGGAGTTTGAGACCAGCCTGGCCAATGTGGTGAAACCCCGTCTCTACTAAAAATACAAAAATTAGCCAGGCGTGGTGGTGCATGCCTGTAATCCCAACTACTTGGGAGGCTGAGGTGGGAGGATCACTTGAACCCAGGAGGTGGAGGTCGCCTCCAAAAAAAAAAAAAAAAGACCCAGAGAAGACGGGCAGGTAAAGAGACTCAAGAGAGGGGGGCAAAGACCCAGGAAGGAGATAGAGAACCCCAGCAGGGGCAGAAACAGAACTGGACAAAGAGACCATGTGCACCTTCACTGCCCTGGCCCCGGCCCCCATCATCTCTCATGTGAACAACCACAGAGGGCCCTCACATGGTCTCCTTGCTTCCACTTGTGCCCGCATATAATCCATTCTCAGTTCTTGAGCCAGTGGGACCTTCTTTTGATGCAACTCAGACCGTATTCCCCTGTTTAAGACCTATTCCAGGGCTTTTCCCTTCTCTTAAAATCGAGGCTCTTTGCCGGGCGTGGTGGCTCACGCCTGTAATCCCAGCACTTTGGGAGACCGAGGCGGGTGCATCACCTGAGGTCAGGAGTTCGAGACCAGCCTGACAAACATGGTGAAACCCCATTTCTACTAAAAATACAAAATTAGCCGGGCATGGTGGCACATGCCTGTAATCCCAGCTACTTGGGAGGTTGAGGCAGGAAAATTGCTTGAACCCGGGCGGCGGAGGTTGCAGTGAGCTGAGATCGCACCACTGCACTCTAGCCTGGGTGACAGAGCGAGACTCCGTCTCAAAAAAAAAAAAAGTTGACTTTTGGCCAGGCACATTGGCTCATGCCTGTAATTCCAGCACCTTGGGAGGCTGAGGTGAGCAGATCTCTTGAGCCTAGGAGTTTGAGCGCAGCCTGGGCAACATAGCAAGACCCTGTCTCTATAACATTAAAAAAAAAATTTTAGCAAGACATGGTGGTGCACCCCTGTGGTCCCAGCTGCTCCCGAGGCTGAGGTAGGCGGATCAGTTGAGTTCCGGAGGCCCAGGCTTCCGGTGAGCTATGATTGCACCACCGCACGCTAGCCGGGTGACAGAGTGAGACCCTGTCTCAAAAAACAAAACAGACTGGGTGCGGTGGCTCACACCTGTAATCCCAGCACTTTGGGAGGCCGAGGCAGGTGGATCACCTGAGATCAGGAGTTCGAGACCAGCCTGGCCAACATGGCGATACCCCGTCTCTACTAAAAATACAAAAAATTAGCTGGGCGTGGTGGCCGGAGCCTGTAAACCCAGCTACTTGGGAGGGTGAGGCAGTAGAATCGCTTGAACCCGGGAGGTGGAGGTTGCAGTGAGCCAAGATCGTGCCATTGCACTCCAGCCTGGGCGACAGAGTAAGACTCTGTCTCAAAAACAAACAAACAAAACAAATGAAAAACAAAAACAAATCCCAAAACCTTGATCTTTTTTTTTTTTTTAGATGGAGTTTCGCTCTGTCGCCCAGGCTGGAGTGCAGTGGCGCAAACTCGGCTCACTGCAAGCTCCGCCTCCTGGGCCACCGCTCCTGGCCCAAAACCTTGATTTTAACTCACACAGAATAAAGGGTTACACAGCAAGACCGAGGATTCTGGGGCCGGGCGCGGTGGCTCACGCCTGTAATCCCAGCACTGTGGGAGGCCGAGGCGGGTGGATCACGAGGTCAGCAGTTCAAGACCAGCCTGACCAACATGGTGAAACCCCATCTCTACTAAAAATACAAAAAAGTTAGCTGGGCGTGGTGGCGGGCGCCTGTAATCCCAGCAACTTGGGAGGCTGAGGCAGGAGAATCGCTTGAAACCGGAAGGCGGAGGTTGCAGTGAGCCGAGATTGCGCCACTACACTCTAGCCTGGGCAATAAGAGCAAAACTCCGTCTCAAAAAAAAAAAGACTGAGGATTCTTGGGGAGGGGGTTTCTGCCACCACCACTTGCTCCCCCACCCCAACCCGTCCCGTCAGGGGTCAGGGGTGCAGGTGCCACTGACCGATGCAGGATGAGCAGGAGGCAGATGAGGCCAACGGCAAAGGCCCAGCACAGGTAGGTGACCGCCAGGCGTGGGCGGGGCGGGTAGAAGCCATAGAAGAGAGGGGACCATTCCAGGTAACCCTGTGGGGGGAAGGCGGCGCAGGGGCCACTGTGGGAGGAGGCGGGGCTCCTGGAGCTGCACAGTCAGGGTCTGGGGTCAGGGTTTGAGGTTCGTGTCATTGAAGGCACTGGGGTCACAGGTGGGCGGGGAATCCCCCAGGGACCCAGGCACCTACCTCACCCGAGAGCAAGTTGAAGAGCTGGGTGGCAAAGGTGACCAGGCCCTGGGAGTGGGGGTTATAGGAGCCGCAGGGCGAGGAGATGTCGGGGCCGGGAGGGCCTGGGGGAGCGCCTCCCAACCAGGTGGGCAGCAGCGTCATGCAGGCCATGAGCACAGAGGCCAGCACGTTAAGAAGGAGCAGGAAGCGCAGCAGGGAGAAGTAGGACTCCGTGCCGGCGCCAAACTGGCCTGCAGGGGGCAGCAGAGAGAGGCTCAGGTTCCTTCCCGGGAGCAGGACCAGCCCCTCCTACCCCTGGACTGGGGTCCAGCCGCGCCTTCCTTTCTTTCTTTCTTTTCTTTCTTTTCTTTCTTTCTTTCTTTTCTTTCTTTCTTTTTCTTTCTTTCTTTCTTTCTTTCTTTCTTTCTTTCTTTCTTTCTTTCTTTCTTTCTTTCTTTCTTTTCTTTCTTTCTTTCTTTCTTTCTTCCTTTCTTTCTTTTCTTTCCTTCCTTCCTTCCTTCCTTCCTTCCTTCCTTCCTTCCTTCCTTCCTTCCTTCCTTTCTTTCTCTCTCTCTCTCTCTCTATATATATATATATATATTTTTCTTTTCTTTTCTTTTCTTTTTTTTTTTTTGAGACGGAGTTTCGCTCTGCCGCCCAGCATGGAGTGCAGTGGCGCGATCTCGGCTCACTGCAACCTCCGCCTCCTGGGTTCAAGCAATTCTCCTGTCTCAGCCTCACGAGTAGCTGGGATTACAGGCGTGCGCCACCATGCTCAGCTAGTTTTTGTATTTTTGGTAGAGACGGGGGTTTCACCATGTTGGTCAGGCTGGTCTCGAATTCTTGACCTCAGGTGATCCACCCACCTCGGCCTCCCAAACTGTTGGGATTACAGGCGTGAGCCACCGCGCCAGGCCCAGCCGTGCCTTTCTCAGACCCAAGAGTCCAGACCCCCAGCCCCTCCTCCCTCAGACCCAAAAATCCAGGCCCAAGCCCCTCCTCCCTCAAACCCAGGAGTCCGTCCCCAGCCCCTCCTCCCTCAGACCCAGGAGTCCAGGCCCTGCCCCCAGGACACCACCCAAACCCCACCGCACCCCCGATCCTCTTCAGTGTCCACGCCCAGGGCTGCAGGCTTCGCAAGCCTTCCTTTGTTTTCTCCTTGGACCTCCGAAGTAGCCGCGCCCATCGGTCCGTCTTAGTTCCAGAGCCATAGACCACCTGGTCCCTGCTGGCATTTCTTTGCCTGGGAGGGAAACAGGCAGAAAATGAGGGGTTTCGCAGCCCCAGACTGGGAACCATCTGAATGTAGACACAATCCAACAGTAGAATGGAGAAGTAAATTGTGGCCTATACATAAGATAGAATACTCTGTAGCAATAAAAAAGAAACCAGCTGGGTACAGTGGCTCAGGCCTGTAATCCCAGCACTTTGGGAGGCCGAGGTGGGTGAATCACCTGAGGTCAGGAGTTCGAGACCAGCCTGACCAACATGGTGAAATCCTGTCTCTACTAAAAATACCAAAAAAAAAAAAAAATTAGCTGGGCCTGGTGGCGGGTGCCTGTAATCCCAGCTACACGAGAGGCTGAGGCAGGAAAATTGCTTGAACCTGGGAGGTGGAGGTTGCAGTGAGCTGAGATGGCGCCATTGCATTCCAGCCTGGGTGACGGAGTGAGATTCCAAGAAAGGAAAGAAAGAAAGAAAAGAAAGAAACCTAATGCTAGGCAGAAGAAGCCAGCACAAAAGACTGAAGACTGTATGATTCTATTTGCACAACGTTGCAGAGCACAGCTTGCAAAGCTCTACAGAAAAGCAGGAGGCTGGAGTGGGAGGATCGCTTGAGCCCAGGTGTCGGAGGCTGCAGTGAGCTGAGACTGCACCACTGCACTCCAGCCTGGGCATCAGAGCAAGACTCTGTCAAAAAAAAAAAAAAAAAGGTTAGGGAGAAGAGGTTACCTTGTATTTGTGAGGAAAAAGGGGGTGTCAGGGGAGGGACGCACAGGGTGCTGTCATGCCGTGTCACTTGCCCTAGCTGGAGTTTATCTGGGCTCTCACTTTATGAATACAGCCATCCCTCAGTATCCATGGGGGTTGGTTCAAGGACTCCCCAAGAATACTGAAATCTGTAGATGCCCAAATTCCTTATATAAAACGGTATAGTATTTGCATACAGGCTACACACATCCTCCTGTGTTTGTTTTATTTTATTTTAATTTTTATCTGATTTTTACAGACAAATGTCTCGTTTTGTTGTCCAGGCTGGAGTGCGGTGGTGCAATCATAGCTCAATGCAGCCTCAAACTTCCAGGCTCAAGCAATTCTCCCGCCTCAGCCTCCCAAAGCGCTGGGGCTACAGGTATGGGCCACGACACCCAGCCCTCCAATGCACTTTAAATCACCTCTAGATTACTTATAACACCCGGTACAAGGTAAATGTTATATAGATAGCTGTTCTTTTAACTTGTATTATTTTTTGTCATATTGTTACTTTGATTATTACTTTTAAAAAATAGAGATGGGGGTCTCGCTATGTTACTCAGGCCGCAGTATAGTGGCTATATTCACAGGCATGATCCCACTACTGATCGGCGTGGGAGTGTTGATACATTGTTATTTTTTATTGTTTTTTCCATATATATACACATATATATACATATATATGTGTATATATATACACACATATGCATATATATACGCATATATGCGTATATATATACGCGTATATACGCGTATATATATATTTGAGATGGAGTCCCGCTCTATCACCCAGGCCGGAGTCCAATGGCACGATCTTGGCTCACTGCAACCTCTATCTCCCTGGTTCAAGCGATTCTCCTGCTTCAGCCTCCCGAGTAGCTGGGATTACAGGCACCCGCCACCACACCCAGCTAATGTTTGTATTTTTAGTAGAGTTGGGGTTTTGCCATGTTGGCCAGGCTGGTCTTGAACTCCTGACCACAGGTGATCCACTCGCCTGGGCCTCCCAAAGTGCTGGGATTACAGGTGTGAGCCACTGCAATGGGCCCATAATCATTTTTGAAGGAGGGCACCTGCATTTTCATTGTTCACCAGGCCCTGCAAATTATGCAGTGAGAATGGGAAAAGAAAGAAGTTAAAGAGAGGGAGGCTTGGAAGAGGAGGCAAAGATGAAGGAAGGTATAAAGCAGAGAGAAATAAATATTAACAGATTTTGGACACACACACAGAGAGAAACTGAGGCAGAGACAGGATTGGTGGAGACCAGGGAGACGGCAAATCCCAGAGAGAAGAGACCCCAGAGCCATCGAAAGGCAGCACTCACCTGGAGTCCGAAGTAGAGACAAAGATGAGGGGAAGAAAGAAACCAAGAGAGGCAGCTCTGAGCGGGGCAGAGAGAGGCCCCAGAAGCCAGGAGCGGCAGAGGACAGAGGGAGGAGACCGAGTCCAGGGTATGGGAGAAGGGCCCGGTCCGGGCTGTGCGGGTCCCAGCTGGAGGTGGGGCCTCACCTGTGTGCCCGTCTGGCCTGCATGGGCCAGGGCAGTTCCCGGGAAGGGTGAGGGTCCTGCAGCTCTGTCTGGGTGACTTCTGTGAAGGCCTTTCTGCTCCTTCCTCCATCCTCCTCCTCCTCCTCCAGCGCCCCCCAAGGCAGCACCCCAGGGTCTCGGTACCGAAGGGTGGCAGCACTGGGCAGCTCGTTCAGCACAGAAGACAGCGATGGGCCTGGGGAGGAGCAGGGGGCTGGGAAGACCCGGGAGTCTGGGCCCTAATTCCTCCTCCCTCAGACCAGGAAACCAGGTCCCCGGCCCCTCCTCCCTCAGACCCAGGAGTCCAGGCCCCCGGCTCCTCCTCCCTCAGACCCAGGAGTCCAGGCCCCCGGCTCCTCCTCCCTCAGACCCAGGAGTCCAGGCCCCCGGCTCCTCCTCCCTCAGACCCAGGAGAACAGGCCCCCGGCCCCTCCTCCCTCAGACCCAGGAGAACAGGCCCCCGGCCCCTCCTCCCTCAGACCCAGGAGTCCAGGCCCCCGGCTCCTCCTCCCTCAGACCCAGGAGAACAGGCCCCCGGCCCCTCCTCCCTCAGACCCAGGAGTCCAGGCCCCCGGCTCCTCCTCCCTCAGACATAGGAATCCAGGCACCCAGCCCCTCCTCCCTCAGACCAGGAAACCAGGTTCCCAGCCCCTCCTCCCTCAGGCCCAGGAGTCCGGGTGCCAGCCTCTACTTCCCCTGGACCCAGGGGTCCACAGCCCTCAACTCCATCCCCAAGCGTGGAACCCTCCTACTCCAGGGCAGTGGAGTCCAGGCTTCAACTTCCTTTTCCCTCTAGCTCAGGAGTGTGGGAACCCAGCCTCTCCTATTCCCAAGACACCCAAACTCCCAGCCCTTAGCCCTCCCCTCCTCCCAGACTAGCCTGGTTCTCCAGGCTCCTCCTCCTCAGACCCTGGAGTTCCAGCCTCCAGTTCCCTTCTCCCCCATAATATCAGGAAGTGGAACCTTCTCTCTTTAGCCCTCAGACTCAGGAGGCCAGGCCTCCCCTTTCCTCCTCCAGCAGGACTCCCACCTAGCCTGAAGGTCGGATGGATCTGAGCTTCTCCTGGCATTCCCTACCTCCTCTGGCCTCCCGGGGGGCCAGCCACCCCCTAGAGGAGCCCCAGGCTTCTGATTCCAAGGTCGGGTTTTCTTCCATGGCCCAGGCTGGGCTGTCTCTAGTGGCCACCAGGCAGACACTGCCCCAGGTAAGGGAGGGGCCAGGGGCAGGTGTGTACCTGGCCAGCAGGTGGCCCGGAGGGAGTAAGGTACACTTCCTGTGGTTTCTCAGGGCCGCTGATGCGAAAGGTCTCCTGGGAGCTGAAGTCCCCGTGGTGCCCCGGGCCTGACAGTTTGGTTCCTGGGCTGGGCGGGGGGGCTGTACCTCACCCTGGGACTTGGTGGACTAAGTCCTTCCCACCGTTTATCACCCAGATACCTGCACGGACAGGATGCCTTTGTGCAACACTTTATTGGGAAAGATTTACACACGGTGACCTGTCATAGGCCAAGCGATGAGAAGAGGGCGCCAGGAGCGCTGGGGTCCCGAGGTGGCTCAGATGGAAGCCATGGGACGGCCGTCCCCAGGCCCGCGCACCCGCACCTCAGTTTCCCCTTTGTGAAATGGGAAGCTTATGCTTCCTTCCAAGTCTGCAATATTGGTGCGATGAGCTAAAAGTGGAGCGAAAGACACAAGGAAGAGGCTTCCCACTCCCAGGACCTGCCCCCAAGCTCCGACCCCACATTGTGGATGCAAAGAAAGGGAATTTGCCCAAAACCCACTGCCCAGGGGCCCCTTCCGTTTTGGGGAAGTGCAGTGCTCTCTGGATACCCAGAAGCTGGAGCAGGGGCCAGTGACTCTTGTCTGGACAATACTTTGATTTTGTAGGAGTGGAGGTGGCCTCTGGGCAGAGGGCAGGGAGGACACCCCCGGGTCTGCTTCAGTTGCAGGCAGGGTATTTAGCTGGGGAAGAGGAAATTCTCTCCAGGACCCTCTCCAAGGTAAGGACTCTTTCTGGGGAGGAGACAGCAGCCTGGTTCACAGAATTCCCGGGACCAGCTGGCAGAGGGAGCGTCGTGACAGCTTACTCCTCCCGGAGCTTCTCTGGGGCAAGGCTGGTGGGCTGGGATGCTGCCTTCCGCCGGCTGGGGCTGCCCCCACCTAAAGCCAGCCCCAGCCCCAGGGCTGCCAGGGCCAGGAAGTGGATACAGAAGTAGATGGAGGCCCAGTACCGAAGGGTGTCGGCCAAGGAGAGCAGCACGAAGCCCATGCACATGTAGTCATAGGCGCGCATCTTCAGGAACCAGTGCACCCAGTCCCAGGCCTTCTGGCCCCCTGGGCTCAGCCGCCCCCGCAGGGCTGACTCCAGCCGGCCCTCGGCAGCCAGGCACAGCGGGATGGTCAGGAAGCTCAGGTAGTAGCCCGGGTGGAGGCCGTGCCAGTAGGCGCTCAGCAGCATGGTCCAGGCGCTCCTGAGGAGGAGGCTGGGAGTCAGGACCTACGAGTCCAGGTCCCCAGTGCCCACTGCCCCCAGATCCAGGAGTCCAGGACCCCAGCCCCTCCTCCCTCAGACCGAGAAGTGCAGGCCCAGCCCCTCCTCCCTCAGACCCAGGAGTCCAGACCCCACCCCTTCCTCCCTCAGACCCAGGAGATCAGGCCCCAGTCCCTCCTCCCTCAGACCCAGGAGACCAGACCCCACCTCCCTCCTCCCTCAGATCCAGGAGTCCAGACCCCACTTCCCTCCTCCCTCAGATCCAGGAGACCAGACCCCACCTCCCTCCTCCCTCAGATCCAGGAGACCAGGCCCCAGGCCCTCCCCACTCAGACCCATGACCCTAGCTCCGGAAGGCGGAGGAGGCTACAGGCCTCTGTCTCCTTCAGGGATCCAGGAGCTCGCAGCCTTCCATACACACTCAGTCCTATCAAGACCCTCTTCTTCTTTAAAGATTTAACATTTTATATTCCACTGCCCTTCCTCTCCCAGGACCAACAAGTCTTAATTCTTCAGCCCAGTGGTTTTTTTTTTTTTTTTTTGAGACAGAGTCTCGCTCTGTCGCCCAGGCTAGAGTGCAGTGGCGCGATCTTGGCTCACTGCAAGCTCCGCCTCCCAGGTTCACGCCATTCTCCTGCCTCAGCCTCCCGAGTAGCTGGGACTACAGGCGCCCGCCACCACGCCCGGCTAATTTTCTTTTCTATTTTTAGTAGAGACGGGGTTTCACCGTGTTAGCCAGGATGGTCTCGATCTCCTGACCTCGTGATCTGCCCGCCTTGGCCTCCCAAAGTGCTGGGATCACAGGTGTCAGACACCACACCCGGGCAGCCCGGTGGTTCTTAACCTGGGGTCCCAGGTCTGGCATCAGCATCACCTGAGAACTTGTGAGACATACAAATCCTTGTCCCCACCCCTTTTGCACCAGAAGCCCTGGGGGTGGGGCCCAGGAGAAGTCTTCCAAGTTAACAAGTCCTCCAGTGACTCTGATGCCTGTTAACATTTGACAACTCCTGCCTGGCTCATGAAGATCCAGAAGTCCCTGGCCTGTGGTCCTTCCTT
The DNA here is from genome assembly GCF_000001405.40 of Homo sapiens. Taxonomy (NCBI): domain Eukaryota; kingdom Metazoa; phylum Chordata; class Mammalia; order Primates; family Hominidae; genus Homo; species Homo sapiens. Next base: position 150,319 of record NW_003571055.2, read on the forward strand.
ATTCTGGGCCCAGGAGATATGTTCCTCTTCCTCCAAGGCCCAGCACCATCTTTCCTCACTCTTTTTATTTTTTTGGAGACAGAGTCTCGCTCTGTTGCCACACGACAAGGCTCACTGCAGCCTCTGCCTCTTGGATTCAAGCGATTCTTATGCCTCAGCCTCCCAAGTAGCTGGGATTACAGGCAAGCGCCACCAAACTCAGCTAATTTCTGTATTTTTTGTTGTTGTTGTTCAGACGGAGTCTCGCTCTGCCGCCCATGCTGGAGTGCAGTGGCGCAATCTCGGCTCACTGCAACCTCTGCCTCCCGGGTTCAAGTGATTCTCCTGCCTCAGCCTCCCGAGCAGCTGGGACTACAGGTGCCCACCACCATGCCAGGCTAATTTTTGTATTTCTGGTAAAGACGGGGTTTCACCATGTTGGCCAGGATGCTCTCAATCTCTTGACCTTGTGATCCACCCGCCGTGGCCTACCAAAGTGCTGGGATTACAGGCGTGAGCCACTGCACCCAGCCATTTTTGTATTTTTAGTAGAGATGGGGTTTCACCACGTTGGCCAGGATGGTCTCGATCTCCTGACCTTGTGATCCACCCACCTTGGCCTCCCAAAGTGCTGGGATTACAGGTCTGAGCCACCGCGCCCAGCCTCTTTTTTTTTCTTTGTAAAGATGGAGTCTTGCTATGTTGACCTGGCTGGTCTCGAACTCCTGAGCTTAAGTGATCCTCTCACCTTGGCCTCCCAAAATACTGGAATTACAGATGTCAGCCATTGCACCTGGCCAACTCTTGTTTTCTTGAGAAGGGAGGACCATTGGCTTTCTGGTTCTTCAAGAGTGCGGAGGCTGGGTGCAATGGCTGGCACCTGTAATCCCAGCACTTTGGGAGGCTAAAAATACAAAGATTAGTCTGTCATGGTAGCACGTGCCTATAATCCCAGCTACTAGGGGGGCTGAGACAGGAGGATTGCTTGAACCTGGGAGGGAGAGGTTGCAGTGAGCCGAGATCACGCCACTGCACTTGAGCTGTAAAATAAACAAAAACGATGGATCCTGTGCATTTTAAGGTGTTTAGGAGCATCCCTGGCCCCCACCCACGACATCCGACTAGCACCTTCCAGTTACAACAACATGTCTCCAGGGATTGCCATGTGTCTCCTGGGGGTGCAGCAGCAGCACAGTTGCCCCCAGTTGAGAAGCACTTGTCTAAACACTGGGGTGCTTTGACCTGGCCTCAGCCCCAGAGCTTTAAGCGTCATCTATACCTGGCCAGATGCAGTGGCTCATGCTTGTAATCTCAGCACTTTGGGAGGCTGAGATGGGAGGACTGCTTGGGGCCAGGAGTTTGAGACCAGCCTGGTCAACACAGTGAGACCTCATCTCTATACATTTTTTAAAAAGTAAAAAAAAAATAATAATAATACTTAAAAAATTTTGGCCGGGCATGGTGACTCACGCCTGTAATCCCAGCACGTTGGGAGGCCGAGGCACGCGGATCACTTGAGGCCAAGAGTTCGAGACCAGCCTGGCCAACATGGTGAAACCCTGCGTCTACTCTTGGCACGAGAATCACTTGAACCCAGGAGATGGAGGTTGCAGTGAGCTGAGATCACAACACTGCACTCCATCCTGGGTGACAGAGCATCAAAATACTAATACTAATACTAATACTAATACTAATACTAATACTAATACTAATAATAATATCCTTCTTACTCCCAAAACTTACCCTTCCTGGGTCTTCCCCTTCCACATTTATCTAATTAAATTAAATTAAATTAATAATTATTTTTGTTTGTTTTTTGTGTTTTTTTGTTTGTTTGTTTTTGAGACAGAGTCTCGCTCTGTTGCCCAGGCTGGAGTGCAGTGGCGCGATCTCGGCTCACTGCAAGCTCCGTCTCCCGGGTTCACACCATTCTCCTGCCTCAGCCTCCCCAGTAGCTGGGACTACATGCACCCGCCGCCACACCCGGCTAATTTTTTGTATTTTTAGTAGAGACAGGGTTTCACCGTGTTAGCCAGGATGGTCTTGATCTCCTGACCTTGTGACCCACCCACCTTGGCCTCCCAAATTGCTGGGATTATAGGCATGAGCCACCGTGCCCGGCCTATTTTATTTTATTTTGAGACAAAGTCTCTCTCTGTTGCCCAGGTGACCTTGGCTCACCGCAACCTCCGCCTCCCGGGTTCAAGTGATTCTCTTGCCTCAGCCTCCCTAGTAGCTGGGATTATAGGCGCCCGCCACCATGCCTAGCTAATTTTTTGTATTTTTAGTAGAGAAGGGGTTTCTCCATATTGCCCAGGCTGGTCTTCACCATATTGCCCTGACCTCAAGATGATCCACCTGCCTGGGCCTCCCAAACTGCTGGGATTACAAGTGTGAGCCACCATGCCTGGCTATGAGTTCTACTTCTGTTTTTTTTTTTTTTTTTTTTTTTTTTTTTTTTTTTGAGACGGAGTCTCGCTGTCGCCCAGGCTGGAGTGCAGTGGCGAGATCCCAGCTCCCTGCAACCTCTGCCTCCCGGGTTCAAGCCATTCTCCTGCCTCAGCCTCCCGAGTAGCTGGGACTACAGGCGCCCACCACCACACCAGGGTAATTTTTTGTATTTTTAGTAGAGACAGCATGTCACCATGTTGGTCAGGCTGGTCTCGAACTCCTGACCTCATGATCCACCTGCTTGGGCCTCCCAAAGTGCTGGGATTCCAGGCGTGAGCTGCCGCACCCGGCTGAGTTTCTGCTTCTAAAGGCTGCACAGATAACAGTGTCAAGCACAGAGTCTCCACTCGAGAAATATTGGAAGAATGAAAAACAATAAAAATGAATACACAGCACGCACTTACCTGTCAGGCCTCACATTAAATACATTTCACATTTTATCACATTTAGTCCTTCTATCTACCTATGAAACCAGTAATAAATAGCATTCACTCCATTCAACACTTGAGGCAACTAAGAGGTCAACTAACTCCTCAAGGTTTCTCCATAACCTGGACGGCCAAGATTCCAGGAAGGCTGGCTATTGAGTCCACAGGACTCAGTACATTGCTTCTGCTGAGTGAGGCTGACTTTACAGAAGTAGCAACTGAGGCCCCGAGAGGGGGAACGATTTTACACCGGCATGCTGCCACTATAATTAGAGGCAGGGCAAAACCAGGCTAAACAAACTACAATTCCCATGAGCCTCCGGGGGCAGGGGCCCAGCCAGGGACGCTGCAGGCTACCCTGGGGCCTGCTGGGAGATGTAGTTCTGCAGTGTCACCTGAGACTGGGCGGGCTCACTCACCGCAGGACATAGGAACGGGCAGGTGCGCTCTTGTAGATATACTGCGCCAGCCACCACTGCACCGTCATGTTCCAGTACCGCATGCCATCGCGCACCCGCACGCAGAAATCTGTGCTGTAGCAGTCGATGTTGCGGATGGTCTCATAGTCATACTCCAAGGAAGCCGCCTTCTCCGGACTGGGGGGTGGAGGATGAGGGTGGGGGACAGACATGCAGCTCAGCCAGGCCCCCTCCCGACGCCTGCTAGTGTCCCAGCCCCGGATGCTAAGGAAGGGATCCTGGCCAGGCAATGGCCCTCTGGCTGTCAGACTTGCTAGGGCAGCAAGGGAGGGTGGCCCAGAGGGTGCCTGTAGGGTAGGAAGGTGGGTGGGCTGGGTGGTACAGTTCACTGACAATGGGGTTCTTCTTCTTTTGGTACCTAATGGGGCCCGCCACAGCCATGAAAAGCCTTGAAGGGCTATGGTTGCTAAGCTATGAGTCCTTTAGCAACCAAACTCAGTATATTCAGAGAAGCCGCCAAGGATGGTCCCTTCTAAATTGTCGGACACTGCAGTTGCCAGGGAAGTTGTGGTTATCATCCCTAATAACAAGGTGCTTCACGGTTGCTAGGGAGATGTTCCAGGCGCCAGTGGGGTCCCCATGATCTTTGTTGCTAAGGAAAAGGCATTCCTTAGCAACAATGCCTAGGATGTTTAGAAAGGCTTTTAGGAAGGGGCTTTTTTCCTGGTCGCAGTGATTATTGGAGAAGTGTCACCTCTAGCAATACAGTGGCTCCCTCATCACTCATGTCGACAGCCCCAGCAGTGGGAAACACTGGCCCATATGAAGCCTTGGTGGCCTCTGATGACAGGAGGGGAGCCATCCTTTAGGAGTGAGGACCGAGCAGATTTAGAAAAACCTTCAATTCCTGCTTGGCTTTACTAGGGGGACATCCTCTCTCTAGCAGCTGGAGGTCAGGGCACGGTTATTAGGGCAGTGGTAACAAATTCCCGTGGGGGTGTCACTACCCCCACAACAGAATGGCAGTTTGTGACGACTAGGGGACAACCCTAGCAGGGAGTAGTAGTTCATCATTTACATCAACAGGCTGTTCCCCCAGCCGCAGTCCAAGCCCCTGGGGGAAGGCTGACTGCAGCTGTCAGGAACACAAGGGCAGTCTACTCCTGGTTGCCGGGGGTGCCATCTCCCTAGCAACACGGGGGCAATACTTCCTCAGCCACAAGAGAGTCCACAGCTATGGCCGTGCGACTTGCCTAGCAATGCAGGTGCCGGGGGGTGGAGCCTCTCTGGCAACAAGGGTCAACCCATAGTTTCCAGGGGGAGGTTTGGCTTCCTTAGCAACAGTGTAACTGTAGTTGGTAGGAATGGCGTGCCCTCTGCTGGGGAACAGCACTGGTCAGGGATTGGAAATTGCTATTTCCTTGCAGAGGGCTGCTGAGGGCTGCTATGTGAGGACATCCCACGGGGTGGAGCAGTGCTAGCTCCTAGCAACAAAGGGGCAGTGCAGGGAGTGCCGTATCTGCAGCAACAGAGCAAAACTTCTGGTAAAAAGGAGGTGAGCTACTGTTGCTAGGGATCCTGCTTCCCTAGCAAATAGTGGCGTTCTGTTGCTAGGGAACCGTTTCCCTAGCAACAGAGGGTGACCCACCACTAGCAAAGGATGGCATCCCCAGCAAGCAGGAACAATCTGGTTCTGGGGGGTGACACTTCTGTGGCAACAGAGGGGTGGCACAGGGTTGCTAAGTTACCACCTTTTCCTAGCGACAGGGGGCAGTTCACCACACTGCGGGGTGACAAGCGCTAGCAACAAGGGGCATCTGTCAGTACCAGGGATCTTTTCCCTACCGACAGGGGCTGGCAGGCCATGGTTGCCGAGGGGGCGACACTCTGCTCAAAAAGGTGGTGGCCCTGGCCCCTTGCTCCCCGCTCTCCTCCCGGCTAGGGGCAGAGCCAGCCCTTGGAGGTGGGGGCTGCTGGGTCTTGGGAAGCCTCCCTCGCGCCGCCTGACCTGCTGGGGGGTGGGCATTGGAGGGTGGGGCCGCCTCCGGCCCGGGCTTTGGCGGCCACGGGGTAGGCCCCAAAGCCGGCGGCAATGCAGCCGCACTCGGCGGCAATCCAGGCCACGTAGAAGCGCATGCGGAAGGCGAAGAAGACGGGGATCATGTAGAAGAGGCGGGCGGGCAGCGGGCGGGCGTAGAAGGCGTCCTCGCGCACGGCCTCCAGCGGGAAGAGGTGAGAGGAGAGCAGGAACAGCAGGCCGAAGAGCGGGGCCGGCCAGGCGCGGCGCAGCAGGGGCCGCAGGCTGGGCACTGCCCCGGGGAAGGGCTGCTCCAGCCAGTCCAGGTAGGTGCGGTAGCGGAAGAACGGGCCTGTGGGGCGGGGAGGGAGGGCCGCGGTCAGACAGGCAGGTGGGCAGAGCTCAAGTCTGCAGGAGGAGGACAGGGAGCTTGGAAGGAAGGTGGGAAGAGGGAGTGAGAGGGGCAGAGACTGGGCGCCGGGGAGACCCCAAGGGTAGGGACTGAGACCCTGAGAGATGGGGATAAGGAACGAGAGACAGGGGGGACAAGAAACTCAGAGAGACAGAGACAGTAACAGAAAAACAGACAGAGGGGCCGGTGCGGTGGCTCACACCTGGAATCCCAGCACTTTGGGAGGCCTAGCTGGGAGGACTGCTTGAGCCCAACAGTTGGACAGCAGCCTGGGCAAAACGGCAAGACCCCATCACTACAAAAAATAAAAATCAGCCAGGTGTGGAGGGCACCTGAATTCCCAGCTACTGGGGAGGCTGAGGCGGGAGGATCGTTTGAGCCCAGGCTGCAGTGAGCAGTGACTGAGCTACTGCATTCCAGCCAGGGAGGGAGGGAGGGAGGGAGGGAAGGAGTGAAGAAGGGAAGAAAGAAGGGAGGGAAGGAGGGAAGGAAGGAGGGAGGGAAGGAGGGAAGGAAGAAGGGAGGGAAGGAGGGAAGGAAGGAGGGAGGGAGGGAAGGAGGGAAGGAAGGAGGGAGGGAAGGAGGGAAGGAAGGAGGGAGGGAGGGAAGGAGGGAAGGAAGGAGGGAGGGAAGGAGGGAAGGAAGAAGGGAGGGAAGGAGGGAAGGAAGGAGGGAGGGAGGGAAGGAGGGAAGGAAGGAGGGAGGGAGGGAAGGAGGGAAGGAAGGAGGGAGGGAGGGAGGGAAGGAGGGAAGGAAGGAGGGAGGGAAGGAGGGAAGGAAGGAGGGAGGGAAGGAAGGAGGGAGGGAAGGAGGGAAGGAAGGAGGGAGGGAAGGAAGGAGGGAAGGAAGGAGGGAAGGAAGGAGGGAGGGAAGGAAGGAGGGAGGGAAGGAAGGAGGGAGGGAGGGAGGGAAGGAGGGAAGGAAGGAGGGAGGGAAGGAGGGAAGGAAGGAGGGAGGGAAGGAAGGAGGGAGGGAAGGAGGGAAGGAAGGAGGGAGGGAAGGAAGGAGGGAAGGAAGGAAGAAGGGAAAAGGGAAGGACGGAGGGAAGGAGGAAGGAAAGAAACTAGGAGATAGCTGTGGCACTTTAGCTACAATATGATGGTGGTCTGGCCTAGGGAGGAAGCAGTGTGATTCACAGAAGGGACCGGGGTTAAAATTTTTATATGTTCACAAAGGCCGTATGTTTAGGTCAATGTAGCATGGGAAGATAAAAGGAAAAAAAAAACAAATTAAAATAAATAAATAAGACCACATGTTGTATGATTCCATTTGTAAGCGCAATGTCCAGAACAGGCAAATCTTTACAGATAGAAAGTCAATTACTGGTTACCAGGGATGGATGGAGGTTTGTGGGATGATGGACATGGGGTTTCTTTGCAGGGTATGAAACTGTTCTGAATATAACTACACAATGGTCATGTCTGCACAACTCGGTGAATATACTAAAAATCAGGGAGTTGTATGTTTTGTGTTTTTTTTTTTTTCCAGGAAATTAAAGAAGCCAAGAGTTGTATGTTTTAAGTGGATGAGTATGTGAATTAGAGTTCCCTAAAGCTGTTATTGGAAAAAAAACCTTTGATGAGGTAAACATTAATGAAAAATATTTTCTTTTTAAAATTTCACATATATATACACATACACACATACATATATATACACACATGCACACACACATACATATGTATTTTTTGAGATGGAGTCTTGCTCTGTTGCCCAGGATGGAGTGCAGTGGTGTGATCTTGGCTCACTGCAAACTCCGTCTCGTGGGTTCAAGCGATTCTCCAGTTTCAGCCTCCCAAGTAGCTGGGATTACAGGCACACACCACCATGCCCGGCTAATTTTTGTATTTTCAGTAGAGACGGGGTTTCACCATGTTGGCCAGGCTGGTCTCAAACTCCTGACCTCAGGTGATCTGCCTGTCTCAGCCTCCCAAAGTGCTGGGATTACAGGCGTGAGCCACTGCGCCCGGCCCTTTTAATTTTATATTTATTTATTTTTTAAAAATAAAGGTTTAAAATAAAGGGACGGGATCTTGCTATGTTGGCCAAGTTGATCTTGAACTTTTGGCCTCAAGCAATCCTCTCGCCTCAGCCTCCGAAAGTGCTAGGATTATAGGCATAAGCCCCCACGCCCAGATGAAAAATATTTCCTTAAGCTGAAAGTGGACCCTAAGCCGTGAATATTTGTTGTCTGGGAAGCAAAAACATCAGGTTGACATAGATCTTTACCTCCTTTATCTCTTCTCTTTGCTCCCAATACGCTACAAGGAGAAGAGCAAGGAATTGCTTAGGTTGAGACAGCCAGCTTCTACCCCAAAGCAGCTCTGGTCCAGCGGAGGTGTGAGACGTAGACCCAGACACATGCCCACCCTCACAGCAGCAGATGCTAGGATGGAGGTTGCCCTGGGCAGGGCGGGAACACACAACAGGCACTCAGGGCGGAAGGGGACACAGGAGACAGAGCGGCAGAGTTGTTAGGGCAGCCCCACTCACCTGTCATGATTCCCACGTAGCAGTAGCTGTAGCTGAGTGTCTCCATCAGGGAGGGCACGTCGGGCAGCAGCCCCAGGGTGGGCCCCTTGCTGAAGCCTGAGGCCATTTCCTTCCTCTGGGCCAGATGCAGGTCCTGGACTTCACTGGCCAGGCTCACCAGCTGGGCAGAAGGGGGTGGGCAAGGGGCCAGGTCAGACTCTGGGCCCTTCCCCACACCCATCTCCCTTGCGCGGCTGCCCTCGGCAGCCAAGGGGTGCTGGGTGCCCGCAGCTCTGCCCATCTAGGTTGTGTGTAACGCCTCTAGCTGGGCGGTGTTCCCCAGGGCTCAGTCCCAGGCCCTCCTCCCCTTTCCCTGTTCTGTGCTTACCTGCTCTCACGCAATCACGGAGGTTTCGATACTATCCACACGCTGAGGACGCCCAAACGCTACCCCAGCCCCAGACCTATCCAATCAAGTGGCTTATTGGCATTTATACTCGGATGTCTCCAGGCACCCCAAACGCACTGGAAACGGAACATGATGTTACCCACCCCACAAGGTAGACCCTCTTCTAGTGTCTCCCCTCAAACAACAGGCCACCAAATTGTTCAAGCCAAAAATCTCCCTCACTCCCCAAATCCGATCCTTTAATCTCTCTTTTTTTTTTTTTTTTTTTTTGAGACAAGTTTTGCTCTGTCACCCAGGCTGGAGTATACTGGTGTGATCTCGGCTCACTGCAACCCCCACCTCCTGGGGGCGCAAGCAATTCTCATGCCTCAGCTGGCCAGGCTGGTCTCGAACTCCTGGCCTCAAGTGATCTGCCCGCCTTGAAATCCCTTAAGTTTGAGTCTGTTGCCTCTTTCCATCTCCACTACTGAGCTGAATATGTTGTACTCTCCACCCTTTCCCACCAGTCCCAAGGTCCACCCTATATCAATAGATCTCCTTCTTCCAGCTTGTGGCTGGGTTGTCAGTAGAAATCCCTGGCTGGAGACAAAGTCAGGAGAGGGAGGGTAGGGCTTTTATTCCCTTGTAAGATGGCCTTGGGCTGGCTGTCACCCTTGATAGATCATTTCAAGGTGGGTGGCTCTACACACCCTTTAAAAAAAATAATTTTGGCCGGGCGCGGTGGCTCACGCCTGTAATCCCAGCACTTTGGGAGGCCGAGGCAGGCGGATCACCTGAGGTTGGGAGTTCGAGATCAGCCTGACCAACATGGAAAAACCCTGTCTCTACTAAAAATACAAAAAATTAGCCGGGCATGGTGGTGAGTGCCTGTAATTCCAGCTACTCAGGAGGCTGAGGCAGGAGAATCGCTTGAACCTGGGAGGCGGAGGTTGCGGTAAGCCAAGATCGTACCATTGCACTCCAGCCTGGGCAACAGGAGTGAAACTCCGTCTCAAAAAAAAAAAAAAAAAAAAAATTTAGGGCCAGGTGTGACGGCTCACACCTATAACACTAGCACTTTGGTTGGCCTAGGCAGGCAGATCACTTGATGTCAGGGGTTTGAGACCAGCCCGGCCAACATGGTGAAACCCCATCTCTACTAAAAATATAAAAATTAGCAAGGCGTGGTGGTGGGCGCCTGTAGTCCCAGCTACTCGAGAGGCTGAGGCAGGAGAATCGCTCGAACCCGAGAGGCAGAGGTTGCAGTGAGATCACACCACTGCACTCCAGCCTGGGCAACAGAGCGAGACTCCATCTTTAAAAATAAATAACATTTAAAAAATTAATTTTTTGTAGAGACAGGGTCTCACTATATTGCCCAGGCTGGTCTTAAACTCCTGGCCTCCAGCAGTCCTCCCACTATGACCTCCCAAAGCGCTGGGATTATACAAGTATGAGCCACTGCACCAGGCCTACACAACCCTTTTTCCATCCAGGTACCACAACCTGACCCATTTCCCCTGGGCCTAGGGTTGGGAACGGCTCCTTCTGCGGGGCTGGGGTTCAGGCACCATCCCTTCTTGCTCTTCTACATCCTGCCCAATTGGTGGCCACTCCTTCAGTCATCCTAAATGCGCGTTTCCTGCTGCAACTCAGACCTACCCACAGCCAGCCAACGGCCTGTATCAAGCCACCACAGTTTGTCACCTGGACTCGGACAAAGGAGGATCCCTTTATCTGAGTCCATCCCATCTTGCCCTGTTCCACTTCAATTCTCCTTCAGCATCCAGAACGAGTTTTCTTTCTTTTCTTTTCTTTTTTTTTTGAGATGGAATCTTGCCCGGGAAGGCCCAGGCTGGAGTGCAATGGCGGGATCTTGGCTCACTGCAACCTCCACCTTCCAGGTTCAAGCAATTATCCTGCCTCAGCCTCCTGAGTAGCTGGGATTACAGGTGTGAGCCACCACACCCGGCTCATTTTTGTATTTTTAGTAGAGACGGAGTTTTACCATGTTGGCCAGGATGGTCTCAAACTCCTAACCTCAGGTGATCTACCCGCGTCAGCCTCCCAAAGTGCTGGGATTACAGGCGTGAGCCACCGCAGCTGGCCTAGAATGAGTATTTCTATTTGTTTATTTATTTTTGAGATGGAGTTTTGCTCTTGTTGCCCAGGCTGGAGTGCAATGGTACGATCTCAGCTCACCACAACCTCCGCCTCCTGGGTTCAAGCAATTCTCCTGCCTCAGCCTCCCGAGTAGCTGGGATTACAGGTATGTGCCACCACGCCCAGCTAATCTTTTGTATTTTTAGTAGAGACAGGGTTTCTCCATTTTGGTCAGGCTGGTCTTGAACTCCCGACCTCAGGTGATCCGCCTGCCTCAGCCTCCCAAAGTGCTGGCATTACAGGCGTGAGCTACTGTGCCCAGCCAGAACGAGTATTTTTAAACATTTAAAACTGGTCACATTGCCTCTTCTGGCAGCAAACCAAAAATCCCCTCTTCCAGCAGATCTCAATCCTCCACGGGAAGAAGTCCAATGTCCTCACGGTCTCCAGCCAGGCCTAGCACGGTGTCAGCCCTGCTGCCTGTTCCCTTTTGCTCGTCCCAGAAAGTGGATGTGGCTGGTGTAGCCTGTGGAACCCAGCCTGCTCCCCTCCACACATCCTGCGGCCTGAAATGCTCCTCCACGAACCCCTCTCTCATCCAACCTACTCCTGCCACCACTGAGCTCCCACAGGGCACACTGAATGCTGGGAAGGCCACTCCCTACCTAGCATGACTGCTGTGTTCACGGATAAGCCGCCAGTAGGAAACCATGACTCTGTGGGTCTGGGGTGGGCCCTAGGATTCTGTTTTTACCCCTCTTCCCAGGTGATTAGGAGCCAGACCTGGATGCCCTAGTTTTGTTCCCTTCACCAAGTACCTTCTCCCCAGAGCTGGTTTTTCTCCTTTGCAAAATAGCTGGCTACAGAGATTCAAGGACAGCATGTTGGTAAACCACCCAGCTGGGCCTCTGGCACACCGCAAGCACCCAATGGCACCTACTGTTACCTATGTGGGTTATTTCCTCACCCCAGGAGGAGCTGGGAGGTGAAGACCTGCCCAAGGGCATGTGAATGGGGAATGCTGTGCCCAGGGCAGCAAGTGAGGTGACGTCCCACCCCCAGGGTGTGTTGGAGGTAAAATCCCGGGGAGCCACTGAAGGGGGAGGTAAAGTGGGAGGTGAAGGGGCCCACAGGGAGGCTGGAGGGGAGTGGCAAGCCCCGAGTCTGACCTTCAGCGTCAGCAGCAGCTGGACGGCATTGGTGAAGGGCGTGGGAGTGGGCAGGCCCAGGAGGCTGAGGGCTCGGAAGAACAGGAGATAGGAGAAAGTCCAGGCCAGAGCCAGGGCGTGGCAGGAGCTGGGCAAAAGCAGGAGGCGCACTGTGTTGGGCACAGAAGTCTCGGCCTTGGCCATTCACTCCACGAGTCCAGCCACCAATCCTCCCCCAGCTCTCCCCATTCGTTTAGAGACAGAAACACAGAAGGGCAGAGAGGACAGGAGGGTGGATGTAGGGACCGAATGAGTATGATTGAAACAGTGGGAGAAGAGGCTCAGCCACATAGAAACACACACCAACAGAGAATGAGGTTAAGAGAAGCTTCAGGTGAAGACCCTGCAATCCTCCACTTTTTCTTTATTTCCGAGGTCCAGGGCTCAAGAAGAGAGAGGTGGATATGAATGAATATGAACGGTGGCCAGGCCAGCAGACACACTGTCCACCTCTCTCCATGACATGGATGTAGCGGACTGGGACAAACACACAGGGACCAGACGCAGAAGGCAGGGGAGAAAGAAAAGCAGATGAAGGCCGGATACGGTGGCTCACGCCTGTAATCCCAGCACTTTGGAAGGCTGAGGTGGGCAGATCACAAGGTCAGGAGTTCGAGATCAGCCTGACCAACATGGAGAAACCCCGGCTCTATTAAAAATTCAAGATTAGCCAGGCGTGGTGGAGCATGCCTGTAGTCCCAGCTACTTGGGAGGCTGAGGCAAGAGAATCGCTTGAACCCGGGAGGTGGAGGTTGCAGTGAGCCAAGATCGTGCCACTGAACTGCAGCCTGGGCAACAGGAGCGAAACTCCATCTCAAAAAGAAAGAAAGAAAGAAAAACAAACAAACAAACAAACATGAAACAGAGAAATGAGCTGATCAACAAGAGACAGCTAGAGATGAGGCAGAAGCTGAAAAAGACTCAAAGAGGAAACAGGTTGCTTCCCCCTCTCCCCTCCTCTCCCTCTCCTCCCTCCACCAAATTCTCACCAGGGCTGGGCCTGAATGAGGGCCCAGGTCCCGAGGATGGTGACCAGAGAATGCAAAGTGTGGGGGCCACAGGTGAACAGGGTGAGCCCCAGGCCCACAGCGGCTGCTCCCCATCTCTTCAGCCCAGGACCTGCAGGGGGAAGGGACAGCATAAGCCTGGAACCTTCCAGAGGGTCCCCCCCCTTTATTTTCCACTGGGGAGGGAGCCTGACTCACCGGCTTTCTTAAAGAGGAAGCCGATGGGGATGGAGATAAGAAGAACCACTAGATACGTCCATTCTTCAGGCGACATGGTCTGGGGGAGGGGCAGAGATTCACAGTGAGAACCCAGGAATCCAGGCCCCCTGCCTCCTCCCTCTTCGAGGATCCAGGAACCCAGCCTTCTAGACCCCAGTTTTTGAGGATGATGGAGTATGAGCCTCAGCTCCTCTCCTTTGAGAACCTAGCAACCCGGACTCCAGCCCCTTCCTCCTTGGAGGAGACAGGAATCCACCCCCAGCCCCTCCTTTGAGCGCACAGGCCTCCAGCTCTCCTGTCCTTGGAGAACCCAGGAAAGTGTGGGGATCTCCCAGCACCCAAGCCCCTCCTTTGCGAACGCAGAAATCAAAGCTACTCCCCGCACCCATACTGGGGACCCAGATTTGAAGACGCCCCTCTTTTAAAAACCCAGAAACGGCACCCCTCCCGGACCCTTCCTCTTCGACAGCCCAGGAATCTAGACCTCCGAGCCCCCTCTTCCAGCGAGGATCCAGGAACCCAGACCCCCTCTTTGGATCCCCCATCCCCCGGCCCTTGTGAAACCAGATATCCGGACCCCCCAGCCCTTCTTCGAGACCACCCAGAGGAGCCCGGGTCTCCAACCTGCACCTCCTTCGGAGCTCCACACCCCTCTCCTACTGAGAACCCGGGGATCGAACACCCTCCCCTCCCCAGGCCCAGGCCCAGGCCCAGCCCCAACCCGTCCCGCGCACCCCAGCGCATCCCCGGCAGAGCCACAGGCGGTTGCGCCAGCCCCGAGTTCCAACGCGCCTCCGGGGCCGCCCCGCACCCGCCAGCCCGCAGAGACCCTGCCGCCGTGTAACCTCGCCTCGCCACTGGGCGCCGCCACCCTGGCCCACCTGAGCTGCTCGCCGGGCAGGAGGCGGCCGAGCAGTCCCAGCCCGCTTGCCGCCGCAGCTCCGGCCACGCCTCCCCCGCCCAGCGCGCCCCCGCGCCGCCTGCTCCTTCTGGGCGCCCGCCGGGCTGCGCAGATCAGGCCGGGGAAGAAGCCACGGTCAGGGCCCCGGGCGGGCAGGGAAGAAGCCCCGGAGCAGAAGCCGAGAGCGCGAGTCGGCAACGGGATTCGAGTCCAGGTCCACACTGGGATCCGAGCTCCGAGTACGTGAAGGGGCGGGCCTTCGGGCTCGGAACAAGGAGGAGCCAAAAGCTTTGGACCCGAAGGGGAACAGACGGGCTCCGGAAAGGAGGCGGGGTCTGGAGCTCGCCGTGAGGAATGAGGCGGGGTCTCCCTTCGGGTTCCTTCGGGCACAATCGGGAGCTTGAGTTCTCCGGAAGCGGGGCCACAAACTTCGGCTCACTTCGGCAATAGTCGAGAACGGAGAGCTGAGGCCAGTGTGGGCGGAGCCACATGTTTCGGCTTTCTTCGGAGGTAGTCGAGTCCTTAGGGTCACTGTTCCGATGTGGGCGGGGCCACAGACTCGGCCGGATGTGGGTGGGGCCACAAGCTTCGGTTTACTTCGTAGATAGTTGGGTACAAGTGACGCTAGGATGATAGGCGGAGTCAACAGGTTCGCCAGATACCCATGAGTATTTACAAGGGGGCGGGGCGAAAGCGACTTGCCCTCAAAGGGGCGGAACCCCGAGGGCCGGCGTGCGCCTACGGGACCGGGCCAGGGTGACGATCCTCAAGTTCCCAAGTAGAGGAGAGGAAGCGGCAGAGGGAGGTGCGCTCAGTGGGGCGGAGCCAAGGTGGCCCCCGCGGGAGGAGGGCGGGGCTTCGGTCCTGCGAGGGGCGGGACCTGACTTCCCGCGGCGCTGATGGGGCGGGATGACGAAGTTGACGAGGGTGTCGGCATGAGGGGGTGGAGCAAGGAGCGCGTGGCGCGGTGCGCAGTGGGTGGCTCCACCTCGACTGCGAATTACTGTTTATGAGGTGACTCGCTGGTTCTATCGGTGGACAGTGGGACATTCTGAAGGGAGGCAAGGAGGCGGACTGAGCGCTCCCAATTGGGGTGAGCCCGCCCGAGCGGAGAGTGGACGGCGGGTGTCCAGGGGGCGGGGCTTTCGGCTGTGGGGTTCGGTCGTAGGGCGGGAACTCCCCAACTGGGGTGCGCTGGCGCTCGGAGGGGGCGGGGCCACAGGCCGCGAGGCTGCCGGGAGCCGATGACGCCCGAACGCCGAACCTATTGCGTCCGGGAGGAGGCGGGGCTACGGATTCGGCCGAGCCGAGAACACCCGAACGTCAAATTGCTGGCGTTCGGGAAGGGGGCGGGGCTGCGGATTCGGTGGAGCCGAGGACGCCCGAACGCCGAACTTCCTGTGCTCGGGAGGGGGCAGGGTTTTGTACTGTGGGAGTCTGAGAGCGAGGAGGTCCGAAAGCCGAATCACAGTCGTTCGGAAAGAGGAGGAGCGAAGGCTCGAGCGTCCGGAAGAGGGTGTGGCCTCGGCGGTGCCTTAGCCTCCAGAGCTTCTGACCGCTGACGGGAACACCCGAAGGGGGACGCCCACTTTGCAAGAGGGTGGTGCCAAAATGGACCTTTGTAAGGGGGCGTGTCGCCGCGCTTGCGGAGGTTTGTTTTTCACGCTCCAAGGCGCAATGGTAGGTACGGCAGTGCGGGCACAGAGCGGGTGCCGACCGCAGGGTCACAAGGGTAGAGCGGGACCCTGGGGGCTTGGCGAGGGGCGAGGGTCGGGGGCTTGTCTCCGGCGTCTCGTCTCCGGCGGCCGCGAGGCCTGGTGGGATCGCCCGGGGGCGGGGCCTGGCGCTCGGGCCCAGCAGGTGGTGAACGGCGGCTGAGCGAGGCCCCGCCCCCTGAGGCCTAGGGGCGGGGCTTCGCCGAGACCCCGGAGGCTTTGGGTGCGCTGCAGCGGTCTGCGGCGCGCAGCTGTTTCGGTAACTGCTTTGCCTCCCGGCTCCCGCAGGAGGATGCTGGTGGTGGAGGTGGCGAACGGCCGCTCCCTGGTGTGGGGAGCCGAGGCGGTGCAGGCCCTCCGGGAGCGCCTGGGTGTGGGGGGCCGCACGGTAGGCGCCCTGCCCCGCGGGCCCCGCCAGAACTCGCGCCTGGGCCTCCCGCTGCTGCTGATGCCCGAAGAGGCGCGGCTCTTGGCCGAGATCGGCGCCGTGACTCTGGTCAGCGCCCCGCGTCCAGACTCTCGGCACCACAGCCTGGTAAGGGGGCGGGGCTCGAACTCGGGTTCGGTGGGAGCGGGACCTGGGAGTCAAGTTTCCTGGCTTCTGAAGGGACCATAAGCTTGGAGGTTCCAGCGAAGTGTGCTTCTCAGGCCCTGACATCCTTCAAGCGCCAGCAAGAGGAGAGCTTCCAGGAGCAGAGCGCCTTGGCAGCTGAGGCCCGGGAGACCCGTCGTCAGGAGCTCCTGGAGAAGATTACGGAGGGCCAGGCTGCTAAGAAGCAGAAACTAGAACAGGCTTCAGGGGCCAGCTCAAGCCAGGAGGCCGGCTCGAGCCAGGCTGCCAAAGAGGATGAGACCAGTGATGGCCAGGCTTCGGGAGAGCAGGAGGAAGCTGGTGAGCATGGGAGGTGGAGTCCAGGGACCACGGGAAGGAGAGGAGAGATCTTTTAGGAATTTTAGCTGGGAATCCAGTGCCTGGGTCTCCCTGAGGGTGAGAAGACTTTACCCCTTGAATTTACCAAACTCTTCTCTGTACTCCCCACCAGGCCCCTCGTCTTCCCAAGCAGGACCCTCAAATGGGGTAGCCCCCTTGCCCAGATCTGCTCTCCTTGTCCAGCTGGCCACTGCCAGGCCTCGACCGGTCAAGGCCAGGCCCCTGGACTGGCGTGTCCAGTCTAAAGACTGGCCCCACGCCGGCCGCCCTGCCCACGAGCTGCGCTACAGTATCTACAGAGACCTGTGGGAGCGAGG
Source organism: Homo sapiens (assembly GCF_000001405.40). Taxonomy (NCBI): domain Eukaryota; kingdom Metazoa; phylum Chordata; class Mammalia; order Primates; family Hominidae; genus Homo; species Homo sapiens. Next base: position 167,286 of record NW_003571055.2, read on the forward strand.
CTTCTTCCTCAGTGCGGCTGGCAAGTTCGGAGGTGACTTCCTGGTCTATCCTGGTGAGTATGGGTTGGGGCCTCTGGTTGCTGTGCCTTTCCATACGATCCCAATGTATTCTGCGTTTTTCTTTTTTTTTTTTTTGTCTTAATAGAGGTGGGGTCTCTTGTTGCTTAGGCTGGTCCCTATTCCTGGGCTCAAGCAATCCTTCCACCTCGGCCCCCCAAAGTGCTGGAATTATAGGCCCAGCTGCATTTTTCTTTTTTGTCTCACTTTCTCTTAGCCTCTGAAATTCATAGACAGACAGGAAACATTTGGGAGCTCCTGAACTCATTGGGCAAGCAGTTTAACGACTTTTATTAAATGATTACTGTGATCCAGAAGATTCACTTAGAAGTAGTTAGACATCAGGCTGGGCGCAATGGCTCACGCCTGTAATCCCAACACTTTGGGAGGCCAAGACAGGTGGATCACCTGAGGTCAGGAGTTTGATACCAGTCTGGCCAACATGGTGAAACCCCATCTCTACTAAAAATACTAAAACTAACTGGGCGTGGTGGTGGGTGCCTGTATTTCCAGCTACTCGGGAGGCTGAAGCAGGAGAATCATGTGAACCCAGGGGGCAGAGGTTGTAGTGAGCCAAGATCGTGCCATTGCACTCCAGCCTGGGGGACAAGAGCGAGACTTTGTCTCAAAAAAAAAAAAAAAAAAAAGCCTAGAAGTGGAATAGTTGTGTCCAAGAGCATCTGTTTTAGAGTATCTATAGTGATGGCTGAAATGATCTCAGATCTCCTCCCAGTGGTCGTTCCCGTGGCGTCCAGCCGTCTGCCATTGGTCACTGCTTCAGTGCCTCTCTCCTTCCCCCAGGTGACCCCCTCCGCTTCCACGCCCATTATATCGCTCAGTGCTGGGCCCCCGAGGACACCATCCCACTCCAAGACCTGGTTGCTGCTGGGCGCCTTGGAACCAGCGTCAGAAAGACCCTGCTCCTCTGTTCTCCGCAGCCTGATGGTAAGGTGGTCTACACCTCCCTGCAATGGGCCAGCCTGCAGTGAACTCCAGAGACCTAGGGGATGTGGCTGTGTCGGCAGCAAGAGCCTTTCTGGATGTTCCCCAGCTCTTCTCTGGGAGTCTAGAACATCCTCCTACCTTTCTCCGCGGTTAGTTTTTGATTCCAGGTTTTCGAACACTACATCTTTTTTATGTTCTTCCTTGTTTCAAAGCACTTATTGGCTGTGTTTTTGTAGTTACCTATTTTCACACTGTGAGCTTCCCGAGAATGGGGCCTGGGTTTGATTCATCTGTTTTCTACAGGGTTTAAGTCTCAGGAGGTCTCAATAAACTTGGTATATAAATGTTCATGATTTGAATGTTTGCGACAGTCCTGGAACCCGTGGATGGTCTCATCTGCATGTACAGGTGAGAAAAAGGCCTGGAGGGGGGGGACTGACTTGCCCAAAGTCACACACTTAGTAAATAGCAGGCCTGGCCTTTCAAAATTGGTTTTTCTGACTCCTAAATCTGCACTCTTTCTACCTCACTAAACTTCCTCTTGAAAAGATTTCTATGAAATTTCCCAGATGCATACAAACGTTATAAATAAAAATATAGGCTGGGCACGATGACCCACACCTGTAATCCCACAGAACTTTTGGAGGCCAAGGCAGGGGGATCGCTTGAGCCCAGGAGTTTGAGACCAGCTCTGGCAACATTGTAATACCCAGTCTCTACAAAAAATAATTTAAAAAAAAATTAGCCAGGGATCCCTTGAGCCTGGGAAGTTGAGGCTGCTGTGAGCTGTGATTGCACCACTGCCCTCCAGCCTGGGAGACAGAGCAAGAACCTGTCTCAAAAAATATATATATGTGTGTGTGTATATATGTAAATATACACACATGTATGTATATATATGTGTGTGTATATATATATATATTATGAAAGGAAATGAGTATTGTAATTTTAGGAGTTCAGAGCCTGGGGAGAAAGGAAGGACTCTGGAAGGCGTTCTGCTTTTTCATGGCCTGGGTAGTGGTGGAGAATTTTTTTGATACTGTATATTTATATTTTAGACTCTTTTTTGGATGTGTTATATTCTGCAATTTTTATAAAAGCTAAAACACATGTATTTGTAAAAAATTTGCACTTATGAAATCATTTACCCATGTTTTTGCTTAAGAAAGTACTAGAACACTACCACTATTCCAATAATTACACCTTTATCTTATCAATGTGCAGTTTTATTTTGTCACGTTTATTTTGTCAGTGTAATACATTCACATGGTGAGTCTGGGCGTGGTGGCTTATGCTTGTAATCCCAGCACTTTGGGAGACCAAGGCGGGCGGATCATGAGGTCAGGAGTTCCAGAGCATCCTGGCCAACATGGCCCGCCTCTATGAAAAATACAAAAATTAGCCGGGCGTGGTGGCGGGCGCCTGTAATCCTAGCTACTCCGGAGGCTGAGGCAGGAGAATCACTTGAATCTGGGAGGTGGAGGTTGCAGTGAGCCAAGGTCACGCCACTGCACTCCAGTCTGGGCGACAGAGCTAGACACTGTCTCAAAAAAACAAAAACAAACAAAAACTTCCACATGGTAAAATTCTGGGGCTGAAAGTCTCCACCTCTAGTTCTTCCATTTCTTCCCCCCATGTTTCATTCTTTCTCTTTTTTGTGTGAATTGAGCAGCCTCTGGAACCAGAATAGGTTTAGAGAGACTCCCATCTCCCCTCTTTCTTGCCATTCCCAGTAAACAGACTTCATAGAATCTCAATTTCCTGTAAGTTTAGATTAATTTAAAATATGACACTGGGCCAGGCGTGGTGGCTCACACCTGTAATCCCAGCACTTTGGGAGGCTGAGGTGGGCAGATGAGTTTGAGATCAGCCTGGCCAATATGGTGAAACCCCATCTCTACTAAAAATACAAAAAAAAAAATTAGCCGGGCGTGGTGGCATGCGCCTGTACTCCTAGCTACTCAGGAGCCTAAGGCAGGAGAATCACTTGAATCCAGGAGGCAGAGGTTGCAGTGAGCCAAGATCGCACTACTACACTCCAGCCTGGGCAACAAGAGCTAAACTCCATCTCAAAAAAATAAAAAGAAAAGAAAAAAAATGACGCTAACCCCTGTCTGGCCAATACTCTCTTTGTGCCTGCTTCATAATTGGCTTTGTAAGTCTATTCTCCACCCTTTCTCCTCTCTACAACAAAGTACTTAGAAGTCTCATTCCCTCTGTCATGAGTCTCTCCTCTGAAAAGTTCCTCATTTAAAACTCCTGTGGCCAGATGTGGTGGCTCAGACCTGTAATCCTAGCACTTTGGGAGGCCAAGGTGGGAAGATCAGTTGAGCCGCTGAGCTCAGGAGTTTGAGACCAGCCTTGGCTGAACATAGTGAGACCTCATCTCATCTCTATTTAAAACAAACAAACAAAAAAAAACTTTTGTGACTGGTGTCCCCCCATGTTGTCAGTCAACAAATTCTATAGGTGCCATGTTCAAAGCACTGTGGATCCACAGTTAGGCCCCACCCTCCACCTTCACTGCCAGTATCTTAGAAAAACCAAACCATGGCTCATTTGATATTGATAGCTTCCTAACTCATCCCCTGCCTTCCATTCTTGCCCCTCTGTTGTCTGTTTTCAACAGAGCAGCCAGAATCATCGTTTTTTTTTTTGTTTTTTTTTTTTTTTTTTTTTTTGAGGCGGAGTCTCGCTGTCGCCCAGGCTGGAGTGCAGTGGCGCGATCTCTGCTCACTGCAAGCTCCGCCTCCCGGATTCACGCCATTCTCCTGCCTCAGCCTCCCTAGTAGCCGGGACTACAGGCGCCCGCCACCTCACCTGGCTAATTTTTTGTATTTTTAGTAGAGACGGGGTTTCACCATGTTAGCCAGGATGGTCTCGATCTCCTGACCTTGTGATCCACCCGCCTCGGCCTCCCAAAGTGCTGGGGTTACAGGCGTGAGCCACCGCGCCCGGCCAGAATCATCATATTAAAAGATAAGTCAGACCATGTCACAGCTCTGTCTAAAACTTTCCTGGAGTTTTCCATCTCAGAGTAAAACTCAAAGGTCCTACTTTGCAGCTTCCTCATGAACTGGCCATGTGCATTCTCTTCCTTGCTTATTATTATTATTATTATTTATTTTTTTTATTTTTGAGACAGAGTCTTGCTCTGTTGCCCAGGCTGGAGTGCAGTGGCACAATCTCGGCCCACTGCAGCCTCTGCCTCCTGGGTTCAAGTGGGTTCAAGCGATTCTCCCACCTCAGCCTCCCAAGTACCTGGGATTACAGGCGCCTGCCACCACGTCAGGCTAATTTTTTGTATTTTAGTAGAGACAGGGTTTCACCATAATTGCCCAGGCTCGAACTCCTGAGCTCAGGCAATCCGCCCACCTCAGCCTCCCAAAGTGCTAGGATTATAGACATGAGCCACCGTGCCCGGCCAGCTTTGTTCCTCTTTACTGCTGGATATTCCATTGTATGGACATAACCCCATTTTATTTATCCATTCATCAGGTGATTGGCATTTGTTTCTAGTTAAGGACAAGGTTTTGGTTTTGGTTTTTGTTTTATTTACCCTTGTTCATGCAGTATCCCCAGGTCCAAGAACAGTTCCTGGCACACAGCAGTCAATACATTGTTGCTAAATAAATGAGTGGCTTAAACTATAATTTTTAAATCAGGGCTGAGACAATTTGGAAATTATAATTTCTCCTACATGACTTTCTAAGCATATTTTAAATAAATATACATACGTTAAGGTCATTTTTATTAATGAAAATTGTAGCATACTATGCACACTTCTGCATCTTGCTTATTGGATATGCCCAGGCTTGTCTCATTTTTGCCAACAGCTACATGGTTTTGCGTCCTATGGATGGGGCATAATTAGATTTTATTACACTTGTACAAAAGGAAAGGAATTCAGCTCCCCAAGCATGCCCAGCTGGTCCTTGGCAACCCATGATGGAAACCAAGGGTTCCTCTTATATTACCCGTGCTCCTTTCAGAGAGGAAGGGCTAGAGGGCTCCAGCCTGAGTGAGAGAGAGAGAGGAGGAAGCATGAGGGGTTTGTGGAAGAGGGCCTGGTGCCATATGACTGGACCATGCTTCTGAAGAGGATCAGGGTGAGGCCAGATCTCATCAGTTGACCCTTGAGCAACATGGGTCTGAACTGCTCGGGTCCACTTTTATGCAGATTGAAAAAAGTAAAGGTTACACAGAGCATGCCTGCCTCTCCTGCTTTGCCTTTTACCTCCTCCACCTCTGGCACCCTGAGACAGCAAGACCAAACCCTCCTCTTCTTTCTGCACCTCTGCCTACTCAGAATGAAGACAAGGATGAAGACCTTTATGATGATCCACTTCCACTTAATGAATAGTAAATATATTTTCTCTTTTTTAGAATTTTCTTAATATTTTCTTTTTTTTTTTTTTTTGAGACGAAGTCTCGCTCTGTCACCCAAGCTGGAGTGCAGTGGCGCGATCTTAGCTCACTGCAAGCTCCGCCTCCCGGGTTCACGCCATTCTCCTGCCTCAGCCTCCCCGGTAGCTGGGACTACAGGTGCCTGCCACCACGCCCGGCAAATTTTTTGTATTTTTAGTAGAGATGGGGTTTCACCGTGTTAGCCAGGATGGTCTCGATCTCCTGACCTGGTGATCCGCCCGCCTTAGCCTCCCAAAGTGCTGGGGTAACAGGCATGAGCCATCACGCCCGGCCAATATTTTCTTTTCTCTAGCTTAATTCATCATAGGAATACAGAATATAATACATATAGCGTATAAAATATGTGTTAATTGACTATGTTATTGGTAAGGCTTCCAGTCAACTACGAGTAATGTTTTTTTTAAATCCTGAGACAGTGTCTTGCTCTGCCAGCTGGGCTGGGGTGCAGGGGCATGATCTTAGTTCGCTGCTGCCTCAACCTCCTTGACTCAAGCAGTCCTCCCACCACAGCCTCCCAAGTAGCTGGAACTACGGGCACACACCACCACACCCAGTTAATTTTTCTGTTTTCTGTAGAGTCTGGGTTTTGCCGTGTTGCCCAGGCTGGTCTTGAACTCCTGGGCTCAAGTGCTCTGCCCACCTCAGCTTCCCAAATCCCACCTGGGGTTACAGGTGTGAGCCACGGTGCCTGGCCTAGTAGTTAAGTTTTGGGGAAGTCAAAAGTTATATGCAGATTTTCTTTCTTGATTTTTTTTTTTTTTTTTTTGAGGCAGTCTTGCTCTGTCGCCCAGGATGGAGTGCAGTGGTGCGATCTCGGCTCACTGCAATCTCCACGTCCTGGGTTCAAGCGATGCTCTTGCCTCAACCTCCTAAGTAGCTGGGATTACAGGCACCTGCCACCACGCCTGCCTAATTTTTGTATTTTTAGTAGAGACCAGGTTTTGTCATGTTGGCCAGGCTGGTCTCGAACTCCTGACCTCAGTTGATCCGCCGGCCTTGGCCTTCCACATAGTGCTGGGATTACAGGCGTGAGGCACCGCGCCCAGCCTATATGGAGGTTTTCGGCTGAGCTGGGGGTCAGTGCCCCTCGCCCCCAGACTGTACAGAGTCAGCTGTGTTAAGATATTAAGCACCTTCAGTACACAAGACTCTGTGCTGGTTTTCTTTTCTTTTTTTTTTTTTTTTACTCTAAATCATCAAACCCTATGAGGAAAGTCCTGTTACTTTCTCCCATTTAGCACTCTTGAAGAGGCTAATTTGCCTAAGATCAAGAGCTCGTCAGTGACTGCTGAGGTTCAAACGCAGATCTTTTTTAAGACTTGAGAACCTACAGGTTCAACCACCATTATAAAACCATCTCTGTAATCACGAGGCACCCGGAATTTGTGGAGCTTGGACTTCATCCTGAAGGGAGTGAAAACTTATGGAAGTTTTTTCCTTCCACGTTTCCCCCTTCCAGATGAATAATATACGCGTGTTCAAGATACAAAAATGCATAAAATTTGGCCAGGCATGGTGGCTTACACCTGTAATCCCAGCACTTGGGGAGGCTGAGGCGAGTGGATCACTTGAGCCCAGGAGTTCAAGACCAGCCTGGGCAATATGGCAAAACCCCGTCTCAAAACAACAAAACAAACAAACAAAAAACCCATAAAACTGAACAAGGTAGTTTGTAAGATATGGAAGTACAATGCAGATGACAATAATGACGATGGTAGCTACCACTAGGCGCTTTATTTATGCCACTCTCCTCAACACTGGATAGACTCTCACTTAATCCTCACAAGCTTATGAGGTAGGCGCTACCATCATTCGCCGTTTTACAGAGGAGGACGCTGAGGCACAGAGTGATTGAGAAACTTGTCGAAGGCACTGCAGCTGGCAAGTGGTGACGTGGCATTTGAATCCAGGCATCCGGATGGTGTGGATGCCGTGGAAGAGAAAGGGGCGGGTGGGACTGCTTCCTGAGGAGATAGTGACTGCCGAGGCAGCAGCGTAGGGAAGACAACTGAAGAACACGAGCTGTGGAGACAGACCATCGCATTCGGAGTGGAGAGATGGGTGTACAGACAGACAATAACCAGACTATATATAAAAAGAGAACTCTAGGTCAGGCGCGGTGGCTCACACCTGTAATCTTAGCACTTTGGGAGGCTGAGGCGGGTGGATCACTTGAGGTCAGGCGTTGGAGACCAGGAGTTCAAAACCCCGTCTCTACTAAAAATTTAAAAATTAGCCGGGCATGGTGGTGGGCGCCTGTAGTCCCAGCTTCTCGGGAGGCTGAGGCACGAGAATCGATTGAACCCGGGAAGCGGAGGTTGCAGTGAGCCGAGATCGCACCACTGCACTCCAGCCTGGGTGACGAGAGCGAAAAACTCCGTCTCAAAAATAAAATAAATTACTGATAATAGTACTAATACCCCTTAAGTGGCTATTGATAATAATAGTACCATGGGTGGGGGGGCAACTTCTCTGAGAGTGCTCTGTAAGTATGTATTGAAGATTGAGTAAATACATTTAAAATTCTTAGAACAGTATGTGGCACATAGCGTTCCAGAATGCCACATTATTGTTAGTGACAGAAATAATCTCGGCTGGGCGCGGTGGCTCACGCCTGTAATCCCAGCACTTTGGGGGGGCCACGGCGGGAGGCTCTCTCGAGGCCGGGAGTTCAAGACCAGCCTGGGCAACATGGCAAGACGCCGACTGTTAAAAAAAAAAAAATGCTACCCGGGCGTCGTGGCGTGTGCCTGTAATCCCAGCTACTGGGGAGGAGGTGGGAGGATCGCTCGAGCCCGAGAGGTTGGTCGGGGCCTCAGTGAGCCGAAATCACGCCACTGCACTCCAGCCTGGGCGACGGAGCGAGACCCTGTCTCAGAAAGAAAAAGAAAAACCACCGTCCAGGGGCGGAGAAGGAAGGTTCTCCCTACTTCTCAGGTTTCCACTCCCTGGCCGGAAAAAACCTAGTCCTCCCAGGTTAGCACGCCGCTCTAGCCCAGCCTCACGTCTCCACTGCTTCTCAGCCAGCCAACGCCTCTTCTGATTGGCTCTGACGTGCGTGGTGCGTGAAAACGTCACGAGACGCCGGCGTTACTATAAGAGCGCAGCCGTGGCGCTTGCGCGCCTCTTTCTCAGTGACCGGGTGGTTTGCTTAGGTGAGGTGCGGCGGTGTGCTTTTTCTCTAGGGTTTGGGTTGGATGGTGGCCCGGGCCTTCCGAGTTTCCATGAGTAAGCTAAAGACGTTAGGAAACAGAGCAGGGTGGTTGAACGGGAGTGCAGCACGGTTGTGGGGGCAGATACTGACTATGAGAGCGTTGGAGGTTATTCTCGCGAGATCGGATCTGGGCTCCGCGAGGTTTTGGCGTAGTTGTGGGACTGCGCAGGCGCCGTTTGGAGCCCTTACGCTCACACTTCTCTCCCGCGCAGGCGCAGACGGGGAAGCGGAGCCAACATGCCAGTGGCCCGGAGCTGGGTTTGTCGCAAAACTTATGTGACCCCGCGGAGACCCTTCGAGAAATCTCGTCTCGACCAAGAGCTGAAGCTGATCGGTGAGTGGCCAAGGCTTCCGGGAAGTGGTTCGGCTTCCGGGAGGCGGTTAGCACGTGGATGAAGGTGCCCATGTACTCTATCTAGTCCGTCCCCTAAATTTGGTACTATTCGTGGTTTAGGAAGGTTTTGTGATTCCAAAGCTGCCAGTCTAGTTGTTGTGCCAGTACGTGGGACTACACTTGTCCACCCCCTTCTCCCCACCAGGCGAGTATGGGCTCCGGAACAAACGTGAGGTCTGGAGGGTCAAATTTACCCTGGCCAAGATCCGCAAGGCCGCCCGGGAACTGCTGACGCTTGATGAGAAGGACCCACGGCGTCTGTTCGAAGGTGCGTATGGGAGTCCACAGCAGAGGGATGGGGTGCAGGGCTTGTGAGGTTCATTCTCCCTTCTGTTGCCTCTGTTCCAGTGATGAGAGTTGTGTCATTGGATAAATGGAACCAGCCTTCTAACTTTTAGTGGCACTTGTGAAGTAGGAAAAGTGTATCTGGATCAGTCTTTGCCCTGTTTCTTAGGTGTGTGGCTTTTTTGCCCAGTTATTGGACCTTCAGTTTAGTAATGACCAGAGCTAAAGATAGGCCTGGCACACCTGGGCACCCGTCTATATCTTTATATTCTGTTTATGTGGCCTGTTTGCTAGTGGATGAGAGTAGACTATGAAGTGGAATTTCTGGGCTAAGTGATGGTGATAACAGGGTTTGCACATTTGCTTGGTTTATTGTTTTTTTAATTAAGTTTTCTCGTTTTATTTAGTCTTTTGAGACGGAGTCTTGCTCTGTTGCCCAGGCTGGAGTGCCGTGGCGCCATTTCGGCTTACTGCAACCCCCGCCTCCTGGGTTCAAACAATTCTCCTATCTTAGCCTCCCAAGTAGCTGGGACTACAGACAGGCGCACGCCACCACACCTGGCTAATTTTACTTTTGAGACGGAGTCTCGCTCCATTGCCCATGCTGGAGTGTAGTTGTCGCAATCTTGGCTCACTGCAAACTCCGCCTCCAGAGTTCAAGCGATTCTCCTGTCTTAGCCTCCTAAGTAGCTGGAATCACAGGCATGGGCCACCAAGCCTGGCTAATTTTCTATTATTAGTGGAGATGGGTTTTCACCATGTTGTCCAGGCTGGTGCTTGTTTTTTTAAGCTGGTCAAGGACATTTAGGTGGTATTTAGCAAAGGCCTGAACAGGAGAGAACCTGTAAAATGTCTCAGGGAACAGCATTTCAGGTGATGACTTTAGGAGGGCATGCAGATCACATAGACTTAGGCTTACTTTACTAATTGTGGTGAAATACACATTAAATTGAAAATGTACCATCTTAACCATCTTGTTTTAAAATCTACTCTGAGATGCGGTGTTATTGGAGTGCTTTCTACAGCAGATTGGCATGACCAAGATTGGCATTTGTATATCCTGAGACGCTGCTTTTGCCTGAGTTTGGGTAGTCATGATTTATGGTGAAAAGCAGTCTCTACACCTGAGCCCTGACTGTTAGGCATGAGAGTGGTCATCCATGTTAGGCGTTGAGAAAGTCCTGGCGCATGTTTAGCTACAGATTATCACAGTTTGTCCCAGGCTTGCAGATGTTAGAAGCTTTTTCTTTAAATAGGCACAGGATCTTGCAGTGTTGACCAGGATGGTTTCCAACTCCTAACCTCAAGTGATCCATCCACCTCAGCTTTCCAAAGTGCTGGGGTTACAGGTGTAAGCCACCGCACCTGACCCTTTCATTCTTTTCGTCAATTTGTAGACCCCGTTGATAATCTCATGAAAGTGCTGGAGATCCCTCCCCCATAGATACTGATGCTGGGTGGGAATTCATCCCAGGGTTCTGTGGGGAGTGGGCTATAGCTGGTTCTGGTTTTAGGGAGGACTTTCTGGACATAGATCCTAATTGCAATGAAACTTACAGTCATGTGAGAAAGCGGTGCAGGTGTCTGAGGGTTATTTGTGGTTTTCCAAGGCAGAAGTGAAAATTCCCAAGGGGTACACAGTTGTTCAGGTGAGTACACTTTCTAGTAAATGAAGCCATCTAGCCTAGTCAGGGACAGGAAGGAGGAGCTTGGATGTTTGCTCTTTGGTGTAATCCTGCCTTGATTCAGATCCAGCCTTTCCCACTAAGATGTGTGACTAGCGAGATTCTGAGTCTCGTCTGTTAAGACTGAACAGCCGCCAACATTTGGCTGGCAGTTAATAATCAACAGATAGAGGCCAGGCGTGGTGGCTCATGCCTGTAATCCCAGCACTTTGGGAGACCGAGGTGGTCGGATCACTTGAGGTCAGGAGACCTCAAGTCAGAGACCAGCCTGGCCAACGTGGTGAAATTCCATCTCTACGAAAAATACAAAAATTAGCCGAGCATGGTGGTGTGCCTATAATCCCAGCTACTCGGGAGGCTGAGGCAGGAGAATTGATTGAACCTGGGAGACAGAGACTGCAGTGAGCCGAGATCCGCGGCACTGCACTGGGTGACAGCGAGACACAAAACAACACGAACTCCCCCCCCACCCCCCAGCACAACTGTGAAGAAATGTAGGAGTCATGTCCATTTTTCAGATCAGAAATGAAGGCATTGTAATACCTAACTGCCTTGTATGATGACAAGGACCTGTTTCCCACTGAGGTCCTCCCTGGTTTGCATTTTTAAAGCATTTTAAATTCTCTTGGTGCATTGGCCCAGTGGAGCCTCAGCAGTAGGACATGCTTTTGTTGAAGGTGTAAGGTTTATTGTGCTGTTGAAAACTATTGTCTTCATACTTAAAGGTTTTGCCTGTGGCTGACTCTCCTGTTCTTTTTCAGGAGATAGATGGTTCAATAAATGTGGGCCTGAGTGCAGTGGCTCATGCCTGTAATCCCAGCACTTTGGGAGGCAGAGGCAGGCGGATCACCCGAGGTCGGGAGTTTGAGACTAGCCTGACCAAAGTGGAGAAACCCCTTAGTCTCTACTGAAAAAATACAAAATTAGCGGGGCGTGGTGGCGCATGCCTGTAATCCCAGGCTGAGGCAGGAGAATCCCAGGAGGCGGAGTTTGCAGTGAGCCGAGATCACGCCATTGCACTCCAGCCTGGGCAACGAGAGCGAAACTCTGTCTCAAAAATGATAATAAATGTGAAACATTTTTTTAAAATCATGCCTTTGTTTTGCCTAATGGTGACGATCTCACTTTGTCTCCCGGGCTGGAGCACAGTGGCATGGTCGTGGCTCACTGCAGCCTGGACCTCCTGTGCTTAAGTGATCCTCCTCAGCTCTAGTAGCTGGGACCACAATCCACCATGTACCACCATGCCCAGCTAATTTAGTTTTACTTTTTTGTTTGTTTTGGTACAAATGCGGTCTCACTGTGTTGCCGAGGCTAGTTTCAAACTTCTGGACTCAACTGATCCTCCTGCCTCAGCCTCCCAAAATATTGGGTTTATAGGCCAGGCATAAGGGACTGTGCGTGGCTTAAGTTTCCATTTTCTAATGTAAAGACAAAAAGGCGTGAAGTGTCCAAAGAGGTAAATGATCCCAAACTCATTTTCATTGCCTTTTGGACATGTTTTTGTATTTTGATATTCAGGTGTTTAAATATCCTCTGATGTTGAGTTAAAAAAGAACAAAAATTGAAGCCATAGTATGACATAGGATGCTGGAAATGCACACAGCTGGTGTTTCCATTTTGATTCTCCCTACCTGTAACTGCTCCCTACTGGGAAAACTTTGGGTCCTCACAAAGTGAGCTAGCTTTCTTTCAAACTTTGCTTGGAGGGTAACAGTGCCAGGAATATCAGAAGTGCCTGATGCATGTAGATCTATTTATGAAAGCTTGCTTGAATGGTTTGCTGTAACTAGTAAGAGCCACTTTTTATAAAAGTGCACATAAGGAAAAAAGGTTGAGGTGTTTACCCCAGTCAAGGGGCAGTTGATTTGCTGAAGGCGTGTGGGATTATAGCAGTGAGCGGGAGCCTAGGGGATGGCGTTTGCCCCCAGGGCCCTGGGGCTGTGGGCAAGGGCAGTCCAGAGTATTAGCTAGAAGCCATGGCTTTGGACAGGGTAAGGAGCAAGCCGTCCTGAGCCTGGGGTTGGAAGAAAGGTGTAGTAGGGCATCTGTTGGATATTTTATGCAGTGCATTGTTAGGTTATATACATACTAGATCTATTTTTGGTGGAAAATTTTGTACAGAATAGTAAAATGAATGACATGTACTTAGCTGGAAAAATTCTAGTGTTAGAAATTACTTTTCTCTCCTTAAAAGATGTAGATACTGCTATTTATGGCACGGAATGTGATTCAATCTCACATCTGCTTAATCAGAAGAGCTTTCTGGGCTGAGGATATGAACTCTTCAGCACTGTGCTTTGTTACGGTGGTAGTAGCTTAATAGCAGCTGCATTTGGTCTTTTGCAGACTGAGTCCTTGTAAGGAGGTGATTTCCTTTACTCTTGCTAAGAATGTGGAGCGAGGGATGTATGCTCTCAGATGAGGAGGCAGGTGTATTTTGCCCTCCTGTCATCTGCAGTTTACTATGAATGATGACCTGACAACCATAGGGTAGTTTGGTTTTTTGTATTGTTTTGTTTTGTGACAGGGCCTCACTCTGTCGCCCAGGCTGGAGTGCAGTGGCCCCATCTCAGGTCACTGCAACCTCCGCCTCCTGGGTTCAAGCAGTTTTCCTTCCTCAGCCTCCTGAATAGCTGGGATTACAGGCAGTGCGCCAACGGCCTGGCTAATTTTTCGTAATCTTAGTGGAGACGGGCTTTCGCCATGTTGGCCGGGCTGGTCTCTCAAACTCCTGACCTCAAGTGATCCGTCTCGGACTCCCGAAGTGCTGGGATTACAGGTGTGAGCCACCACTCCCAGCCCGTAGGGTGGTTTTGACAGTGACATGGGTCACGGTGATGGCGCTGTACTACTTGTGCCTCACCGCCGCGGCATGGAGCTACCAAGAGGCGGAGCCAGGATTTGAACCCAAGAAGCCTGAGGTCAGAAGGCGGAATCAGTGTTTCCTCCCACTCTTCCCAGGCAACGCCCTGCTGCGGCGGCTGGTCCGCATTGGGGTGCTGGATGAGGGCAAGATGAAGCTGGATTACATCCTGGGCCTGAAGATAGAGGATTTCTTAGAGAGACGCCTGCAGACCCAGGTCTTCAAGCTGGGCTTGGCCAAGTCCATCCACCACGCTCGCGTGCTGATCCGCCAGCGCCATATCAGGTACCACCTCGGATGGGCACCTGAATCTTCCTCCACCTGCCCCTCTGATGGTTGCCCTCACTAAGCCTGCTGTCCCTATCTCCTATGCAGCCCTCGGAGGTGATGGGTGTGAACTCACCCAGAGGGTACAGATTCACCCTTGCACACAGCTCACCAGGGAGCTGGGGCAGCCTCTTGCCCCAATAGCCCAGCGCAAGGGTCACTGCGGCTCTAGCCGTACACCTTGTGAAGGCCTCTGCCAGGCATGTGGGCAGCTGGACAGGTAACAGCTCTTGGTGTCCCCAGTGGAGGGAGAGAACCAGCCTCACCTCGCTTGGGTGGTGGGTTCAGCTGTCTCCTGGCTCGCTTGTGAAGTTGATTCCAGACCCCGATCCATGACTGCGTTCTGGGTACTCAGTGTGCCCTTTCTGTAATGTGGCACCATTGAGGGGGAGGAGCTGTACAGAAAGAGGGCAAGATGTTTGCGTTTAGAATCTTCGCCCCAGCCCTTCACTAACCCTGTGAGCCGTAGGCAGAGCCTTGTGTGTCAATGCTTTCGTCGGAGACGTAGCCTCGGGTTGCTGTGTTATTGTGGGCATTGCTGCTGCACGTGGTAATACAGCTCAGTGTCAGGTGTGGGGTTCACGATATTTCAGACTCGGAACTTGGGGGCTCTCACATGGCCATCTCATTTGCTTTGTGGTCTTAGGTGGGATACTTTCAGATTTCTCCTATAAAATGGGGTTGAGAAAGTCATCTGAAGCATTTTTGGGGATTAAGGTGATACCCTAAAACCCCGGAGGGCGCACGTAGGATCAGGTGCACCCTTCCTGCAGCGCCTTGGTGTCTGCAGCCGTGGCGGCCTCACGGGGTGGGTGGAGAGGAAAGAGTGGTGCGGTAGCTGGGGTTAGCGTCCGTTTCTCCTCCAGTCCACCTCACCTTGTCGCTTCTTCCAGGGTCCGCAAGCAGGTGGTGAACATCCCGTCCTTCATTGTCCGCCTGGATTCCCAGAAGCACATCGACTTCTCTCTGCGCTCTCCCTACGGGGGTGGCCGCCCGGGCCGCGTGAAGAGGAAGAATGCCAAGAAGGGCCAGGGTGGGGCTGGGGCTGGAGACGACGAGGAGGAGGATTAAGTCCACCTGTCCCTCCTGGGCTGCTGGATTGTCTCGTTTTCCTGCCAAATAAACAGGATCAGCGCTTTACAATTGGTGTGTGGGGGTCTCTCATCCTTGACTCTTTCCCCTGCTCTAAACATGCAGCCTTCCCTGGGAGGCTCACTCACTTGGGAGTGCCTACCAGCTAGTGGTCCCTGGCCTCTCAGTACTATTCTACAGTAGTGAACACACATCTTTACCAGAAACTTCTGTCATCAGGGGAGAGACGAGTGGTATTTTTGGAAAAACTGTGTCAAAACCAGAAGGAAATTCCAAGTAAGCCGGTGTTTGCATATAGGGGTGGGAGGGAGCCGGTCATTGCTAGGCAGGGCAGGCGCCGAGTGGAGGTGGGGGCCTTCCCTGCCTGCTGGCCCTGGGACCCTGACCCCGCCAGGCAAGAGACAGGTGGGACGGGAGCTGACCAGAGGCTGACGGGTTGCTGGGGAAGGTGAACTGTTGGTGATTGTTGGGGAACACTTCACAGAATTTGCTTGCTAGTTTCAAAGCTTGTGATGCGGTTGATGTTGGGCAAGTTCCCAGTTTTGTCTTCACATGTAGGGGAAGTGGGTTAGCGTAGGAGAAGGGGCGTTGAGGGAAGTCTGTTCCTCCTCTCCGCGTTCAGTGCTTCTGTGGACTCACGGTCAAGAGGTTGGCAGGCTTCCCTTTTCTCAGCCTTGTTGATCATCTGTGTTGGGAAGGGGTTTGGTTTCTGAGGAAGTGAGAAACCTGAAATTGTGCAACCCCCTCAGGCTGCAGGCTGTAGTTGATTGGGTCCTTATCTGGAGGCCTTCAGGGTTTGAGGTCAGGGCAGGGACAGTTCTGGAACACAGCTAAGTTACTGTAAACCACGTGGAGAAGTCCATTGCGGCTTACTCAAGCTAGGTGGTTGGCCCTTCCTTCCCTCAGCGTTGCTACTTGGGAAATGACGGTGGTCTTGTGTCCATGGGGCCAGCTGCTGCACCATCTGGGCTCACTGTGGTCTCCTTCCTTGGAGCGTGGGGTCTGGGCTAGTGGATGGCCGGGGCAGCGTACTCACTGGGCTCCTGGGAGCTCCCCTGGGAGGAAGAGACTGCAGTTGTCTCTGGTCTGAGAGGTGGTGGCTCACCTGGGTGTAGCTCACAATTGCGGAGCTCCACGGCAGCCTGGAGGGAGGGGAGAGTGGGAGTTGAGGTATGCGGTTCTGGGGAGAAGCCTACGGGCTTGGAAAGGAAAAGGGTCTTCAGGGCTCTGTCTACAGAGGCAGCGAGCGGGGCAACAGAGGGAGACTCCATCTCAAGAATTTGTAGAGATGGAGTCTCAATGTGTTGCCCCGGCTGATCTAAAACCCTTGGCCTCAAGCAATCCACTCGCCTCCCAAAGCGCTAGGATGACAGGTGTGAGCCACAGTGCCTGGCCTGCGTGGGTCTGTTTAATCTCCGGGCCTCTTGCTCTCCCTTTCTTGGTGATCTCCTTGGACCACATCCCTGTATCATTCTCTCTCTCGACCCTGAGCCC
The DNA here is from genome assembly GCF_000001405.40 of Homo sapiens. Lineage (NCBI taxonomy): Eukaryota > Metazoa > Chordata > Mammalia > Primates > Hominidae > Homo > Homo sapiens. The sequence goes on from NW_003571055.2 coordinate 184,073, forward strand.
AGGGTCCAGAGCAGAGAACGGGATGGGGTCTGGGTAGGGGCCCCTCACTTGCAACCAGGATGTTGGGTGGGGGCGACGGGGGACCGACCTTGGGCAGGAGGCATTGTGTCCACCGCAGCATCTGTGCTGGCCCCCAGGGGGGTGGCTCGCATGGCCCAGGGGGACGTCCAGGAGGTGCTGCCCATCTAGGCGCTGGCGGGCTGGGAGCCCCTTGTCCTGGTCAATGCAGAGCTGTCAAAACCGGCCTCTGAGTGATGCTGAGGGGTCAGGCTGTCTCCAGAGAGCACCGGCGATCCCGGCTGTGCTGAGAGGGAGGGCTGAGGGCTGCCTGGACGCCCCTGAGATGAGGCGACTGGTATTTAGGGGATGCGTACTCTCTGGGGCCCGCTGGGGCCTGCAGGGAGAGCTCTCACCGGTCTCAACTCCATGCCTTCTGCCTTGTGCTTCTGGCCCAAGAGGTCGGGGTCACTGACCACCCCGTGTCCACCTAAGGCTTCCCTGGACACACAGCAGGGAGATGGGCAATGAGGGTGGGGGTTGTGGCCCTGCCTGTCACGGTCCCCAGCAGTGCAGATGAATTAGACCATTGAGCCACAGAGCCTGGAGGGCAGATGGGTGTGCTGGTATAAGGAGCCCCGGGCTCTGTGTTACAGGTCATGTGTTCTCACCAGTGGCCTTGCAGGAGGGGAACAGCCCCTTCCCCAGGGCCTCGCTCTGCTCCCCCTGAAGGATGGGGCTGAGGGGACAGCAGGCTCTGGGGGCCTTTCAGACCACATTTGAGTCAAAATTTGACTTCCCCATACTCTGCCTGCTTCCACCTCACCCAACTCTCATCCAGGGGTGACCCTTGTTCTAGCACATGAGGCTGAGGCCAGAGAGGGCAGGGCCTTAGGACACAGCCCAGTCACTGTTCTAATTCTAGAGGCAAGCCCCTTCCATGTCCTGAGCTCTGTAATGCATCTTTTCTTTCATGAGCCTTGCGATCAGGCGATGTTTATTCAGTGGTTACCACATCCAGGCATGCTGCCAGGAGGAGGGGAGTCGTGGGTGAAGCTGATAGGATTCCTGCTGGACTCACAGAGCCTGGGTTAATGACACATTACCCATGTTTAGATAGGAGGTAATTCTGCTCCGGTTTCGACAAGTTGTAGGAAAGGAGGAAAACATGCTCATAGCAGGTGAGCAGCGTACACCTGTCATGGGAGTGAGGGGTCCTTCTGGGGGATGGAGAGACCAAGACGTGAACAGTGAGTGTGGCACGCAGAGTGTCCTCCACCAGAAACAGTGTGGGCTGTTCTCAGACCTGAGAGTGAGCCAAAGGAAGCTGGGACCTTGTCATTCAGGGGACTTGTGCACCGTGAAGATTTATTGGATGCTATGTTTAAGAAAATGGAAAATCCGGCCCGGCACGGTGGTTTGCACCTGTAATCCCAGCACTTTGGGAGGCGGAGGTGGGTGGATTATGAGGTCAGGAGTTCGAGACCAGCCTGGCCAACATGGTGAAACCCCGTCTCTACTAAAGACACAAAAAATCAGCCAGGTGTGGTGGTGGACGCCTGTAATCCCAGCTACTCGGGAGGCTGAGGCAGGAGAATCACTTGAACCCGGGAGGTGGAGGTTGCAGTGAGCCGAGATTGCGCCACAGCACTCCAGCCTAGGTGACAGAGTGAGACTCCATCTCAAAAAAAAAAAAAAAAAAACCGGGGAATCTTTAGAAAGCACAGTGGAAACAGATGTCTGTTTTTACAAGCCCATCACTGCACAGAATGCAATATGGGAGGGTTTCACTAATGGTTAACCATAACCACACTCCAGCGTGAGCCCAGCCACTAGGCAATGTGCTGATAAGGATTCTAAGTGGTTTATGTGGACTCCTCATGACCTATGACACACATACGTTTACAGTGGAGTGGAACGAGGCAGGAGGGCTTCTCTTTGTCATAGTCTACCAGCTCTGCAGAGGTGTCAGCTACATCCGGATTGGCTCAGGGAGCGGCCGTCAGAAGACTTACACGTGTTTAATAACTGAGGTTGTGTGTGTGTGGCAGGGGGTGGGTAACTGTGATGAGTTTGGTGTGGCAGAGGGGGAGCCATAGCCTGTGAAGCTGGAAAGTGTATCAGGTTTGGTCATCAACAGGCTTGAACATGAAGTACAGGAACGTGCATCTTATTTTTGGAAGATGGAGCCCCGTTGGGGGAATTTGAGCAGTGGAGGGTCACAGCCAGGTAAGATGGTCAGAAGAGGCCTCGGAAGTGATGAGAGGGATGGACTGGAGTAGGGATGGGAGCCAGTAGGGGGCCAGGAGGGAGGTTGGTGCAGTGCACAGACAGGGCGTCCTCGGTCCCCAGCTGAGCTTAGACTGTGGGGATGGACCAGCGGACACGGGTGGAGCCGGGTGAGGAGGGATGTGGGCAGAGAGGTTTGGATTTGTTCACTGTGTGTGAAGCAGAAGAGTGTGAGGAGCTTTTCCACTCTCTGCCTTGGTTGATGGGAGGAACCAGTGGGGCTGCCGCAGGACAGACGACCCGCGTGGGAGAAGGAGGCTCGGGGAGATGTTTCTAAGACTTAACTTGCTCACAGAGGGAAGCACAAGCTTCCTTCGAGCCTGGGCTTTGTTTTCCCAAACAGGTCCCTTCACTGACTTTCTTTTTTGAGACGGAGTCTCGCTCTGTCGCCCAGGCTGGAGTGCAGTGGCGCGATCTCGGCTCACTGCAAGCTCCGCCTCCCGGGTTCACGCCATTCTCCTGCCTCAGCCTCCCGAGTAGCTGGGACTACAGGCGCCCGCCACCACGCCCGGCTAATCTTTTGTATTTTTAGTAGAGACGGGGTTTCACCGTGCTAGCCAGGATGGTCTCGATCTCCTGACCTCGTGATCCACCCGCCTCGGCCTCCCAAAGTGCTGGGATTACAGGCGTGAGCCATCGCGCCCAGCCAACTTTCCTGTTAATGAGTAGCACTCTTTTTTTCTTTCTTTTCTTTCCCCCTTTTTTTTTTTTTTTAGACATGGTCTTGCTCTGTTTCCCAGGCTGGAGTGCAGTGGCGTGACCCCAGCTCACTACAACCTCCACCTCCTGGGTTCAGGTGATTGTCCTGCTTCAGCCTCCCAAGTAGCTGGATTACAGGCACGTGCAACCACGCCTGGCTAATTTTTGTATTTTTAGTAGAGACAGAGTTTCACCATGTTGGCCAGGCTATTCTCGAACTCCTGACCTTAAATCATCCTCTTGCCTTGGCCCCCCAAAGTGTTAGGATTACAGGCATGAGCCATCATGCTCGGCCTCTTTTTTCTTTTTCTTTTTTTTTTTTTTTGTTTTTGAGACAGAGTCTTGCTCTGTCACCCAGGCTGGAGTGCAGTGGCGTGATCTCAGCTCACTGCAGCCTCCACCTCCCAGGTGCCAGCGATTCTCCTGCCTCAATCTCCCAGTTAGCTGGGATTACAGATGCGCGCCACCATATCCAGCTAAATTTTGTATTTTTTAGTAAAGACAGAGTTTTACCATGTTGGCCAGGCTGGTCTTGAACTCCTGACCTCAGGTGATCCGCCCGCTTCAGCCTCCCAAAGTGTTGGGATTACGGGCATGAGCCACCATGCTCGGCCTCTTTTTTCTTTGCTTAAAAGATGAGGCCTGTTGCCCAGGCTGGAGTGCAGTGGCACTATCATAGCTCACTGCAGCCTTGACATCGTGGCTCAGGTGATCCTCCCGCCTCAGGCTCCCGAGTGGCTGGGACTACAGACGTGCACCTCCACAGCCACTACTTATTTTTGTAGCGATGTCTATCAGCTGGTGAATAGAGAAAGTGTGGTATATCCTTACAACAAAATATTATTCAACCGTAGAAAGGAATGAAGTACTCATACATGCTACATGTGTGAACCTTGATAATATACTAGATAAAAGCAGTCAGGAAAAAAAGGTCACATATGACGTTATTTCATTTATAAGAAGTATCCAGCCTGGGTGTGGTGGCTCATTGCCTGTAATCCAGCACTTTGGGAGGCCAAGGCAGGTGGATTGCCTGAGTTTAGGAGTTTGAGACCAGCCTGGGCAACATGGTGAAATACCATCTCTACCAAAAATACAAAAAATTCACCCGGCATGGTGGCATGTGCCTGTGATCCCAGCTACTTGGGAGGCTCAGGTGGCAGGATCGCTTGAGCCTGGGAGGCAGAGGTTACAGTGAGCCGAGATCACACCACTGCACTCCAACCTGGGTGACAGAGTGAGTCCCTGTCTCAAAAAAAAAAAAAAAAGGTATTCAAAGAAGGCCAATCGATAGAGGCAGAAAGTAGGTTAATTGTTGCATGGGATTAGGTGGGAGTGATTGCTTGATGTAAACTCGGTTTCCTTCTCGGTATGATAAAAATGTTTCGGAATGAGATAGAGGTGATGCTTACACCATATTGTGAATTTACTAAATGCCACAAAATAGAGTTGTATCTCAATAAAAATATATTTGTTGGGCCGGGTGCGGTGGCTCACGCCTATAATCCCAGCACTTTGGGAGGCAGGCAGATCAAGAGGTCAGGAGTTCAAGACCAGCCTGGCAAAACCCTGTCTCTACTAAAAATATAAAACTTAGCCAGGCGTGGTGGCATGTGTCTGTAATCCCAGCTACTCGGGAGGCTGAGGTAGAATGGAGCGAGACTCCGTCTCAAAAAAAAATATATATATATGTAAATATATATATGTTGGGCATAGTGGTGCACACATGTAGTCCCAGCTACTTGGGAGGCTGAGGCAGGAGAACCACTTGAACCTGGGAAGCGGAGGTTGCAGTGAGCCGAGACTGCACCATTGCACTCCTGCCTGGGCAAAAAGAGTGAAACTCCATCTCGAAAAAAAAAAAAACCACACACACACACGTAGATAAAATCAAATATTCTGTATTCCATAAATATGTACAATTATTATTTTTCAATTAAAAACTCTTAAGCTGGGCACAGTGGCTCATGCCTGTAATCCCAACACTTTGGGAGGCGGAGATGGGAGGCTCTTGAGCCCACAAGTTTGAGGCCAGTTTGGGCAACATCGTGAGATCCCATTGCTACAAAAAAATTTAAAATATATTTTTAAAAAACTCTAATACAGTAGTCCCCCTTTATCTGTAATTTTCTTTCTGTGTTTTCAGTTACCTGGTGGTCAACCATGGTCCAAAAATATTAAATAGAAAAGTTAAGGAATCATAAGTTTTTTTTTTTTTTTTTTATTGATCATTCTTGGGTGTTTCTCGCAGAGGGGGATTTGGCAGGGTCATAGGACAACGGTGGAGGGAAGGTCAGCAGATAAACAAGTGAACAAAGGTCTCTGGTTTTCCTAGGCAGAGGACCCTGCAGCCTTCCGCAGTGTTTGTGTCACTGGGTACTTGAGATTAGGGAGTGGTGATGACTCTTAACGAGCATGCTGCCTTCAAGCATCTGTTCAACAAAGCACATCTTGCACCGCCCTTAATCCATTTAACCCTGAGTGGACACAGCACATGTTTCAGAGAGCACAGGGTTGGGGGTAAGGTCACAGATCAACAGGATCCCAAGGCAGAAGAATTTTTCTTAGTACAGAACAAAATGAAAAGTCTCCCATGTCTACCTCTTTCTACACAGACACCGCAACCATCCGATTTCTCAATCTTTTCCCCACCTTTCCCCGCTTTCTATTCCACAAAACCGCCATTGTCATCATGGCCCGTTCTCAATGAGCTGTTGGGTACACCTCCCAGACGGGGTGGCGGCCGGGCAGAGGGGCTCCTCACTTCCCAGTAGGGGCGGCCGGGCAGAGGCGCCCCTCACCTCCCGGATGGGGCGGCTGGCCTGGCGGGGGGCTGACCCCCCCACCTCCCTCCCGGACGGGGCGGCTGGCCGGGCGAGGGGGGAATCATAAGTTTTTAACAAATCAAAATATTTCTAAAAACCTAGAGTAGGCAGGAAAGGGGAAACAACACACAGCAGAGGAGACAAACAAAAAGGCACACCTGAACACAGTCATGCACCGCATAACGATGTTTCGCTCCACTACACATTTCATATGTGATGGTATAGCCTATGTATGTAGTAGGTTATACCACGTAGGTTTGTGTAAGTAGACTCTATGATGTTCACACGACGGTGAATTTTTTTTTTTCTTTTTTTTGAGATGGAGTCTCATTCTGTCTCCCAGGCTGGAGTGAAATGGCACGATTTTGGCTCACTGCAACCTCCGCCTCCCAGGTTCAAGCGATTCTCCTGCCTCAGCTTCCCAAGTAGCTGGGATTACAGGCATGCACCACGATGCCCGGCTAATTTTTGTATTTTTAGTAGAGACAGGGTTTCACCATGTTGAGCAGGCTGGTCTCGAATTCCCGACCTCTGGTGATCCACCCATCTTGGCCTCCCAAAGTTCTGGGATTACAGGCATGAGCCACCACGCCTGGCCAAAATTTTTTAATGATGGCTTTCTCAGAACATATCCCTGTCATTAAGTGACATACGGTTGTAATGTCATCAGTGATTACATTAAATATAAGTGATCAAAAAGAGATTACAAGATTGGAATTTTTTTTTTTTGAGACAGAGTCTTGCTCTGTTGCCCAGGCTGTAGTGCAGTGGTGTGATCTCGGTTCACTGCAACCACTGCCTCCTGGGTTCAAGCAGTTCTCTGCCTCAGCCTCCCTAGTAGCTGGGATTACAGGTGCCTGCCACCACACCTGGCCAGTTTTTGTATTTTTAGTAGAGATGGGGTTTCACCATCTTGGCCAGGCTAGTCTTGAACTCCTGACCTTGTGATCCACCCGCCTTGGCCTCCCAAAGTGCTGGGATTACAGGCATGAACCCCCGCGCCTGGCCTGTTGTTTATATTTTATCACATTAAAAAAGCAGAAGGATGAAAAATGTATTATGCAAACACTAATCAACAGATAATTTCACTGGCTTGTTAGTTGTTTTGTTTTTTTGAGACAGGGTCTCGTCCAGGCTGAAGTGCTGTGGTGCGATCTCGGCTCATTGCAGCCTCGACCTCCTGTACCCAAGTGATCCTCCCACCTCAGCCTCTCAAGTAGCTGGGACTACAGGTGTGTGCCACCACGCCGGACTGGTTTTATTTTTTGTAGAGATGGGGCCTCACAATGCTGATCTGACTGACTCGAACTCCTGAGCTCAAGCTATCCTCCCCACTTGCCCTCCCAAAGTATTGGGATTACAGGTGTGAGCCACTGCACCTGGTTATGCTTCTTTTTTATTTTTTTTCTTTCTTTTTTTTTTTTTTTCGAGACGGAATCTCACTCTGTCGCCCAGGCTGGAGTGCAGTGGTGCGATCTCAGCTCACTGCAAGCTCTGCCTCCCGGGCTCATGCCATTCTCCTGCCTCAGCCTCCTGAGTAGCTGGGACTATAGGCACTCGCCACCACGCCCGGCTAATTTTTTTGTATTTTTAGTAGAGACGGGGTTTCACCGTGTTAGCCAGGATGGTCTCGATCTCCTGACCTCATGATCCGCCCGCATCAGCCTCCCAAAGTGCTGAGATTATAGGCGTGAGCCACCGCGCCCGGCCTATTTATGCTTCTTAATTTTCCCATGTCATAAGTTCGATGTATAATATTTACATTATCATTCAGTTTAAAACATTCACTGTTTTTTTTTTTAGAGACAAGGTCTCGCTCTGTCACACAGGCTGGAGTGCAGTGGCACAGTCATAGCTCACTGCAGCCTCAGCAGCCTTAACTTCTTGTGTTCAAGGAATCCTCCCCACTCAGCCTCCTGAGTACCACACCCGGCCTTTACGTCTGTTTTTGTTTTTTGTTTTTTTGTTATTAACTCATTGATTGTTGAGAAGTCTGTTGCTTTATTTCCAAAATGGGACGATATTAGTCATCTTTGAGTCAGGTGAGTCCCACAAGTTCCCAGCGTCTCCTCATGGTCTGTGTTAGGGGTCCAGGCTGACTGGGGTTCACTGGTGTCCACTGGGGGCAGCTCCCGTGCCTTCAGCAGTCCTGAGTCTCCTTCTGCTGAGTGTGGGGTCTGCGTACCCCCCGGGCTAGTGGATGGCCAGAGTGGCGTAGATGCTGGGCTCAGCTGGAGGTTCCCCTTCCTGGGATGGAGGAGGCTCAGTTGCCTTCCGTCTAAGGGTCAAGCTGTGCAGCTGGGCGTAGGTCACATCCTGGGAGGCTTCAGATGCAGCAGCCTGCAGCGGGGGAGAGTGAGAGGTAAGGAACGTGGTGGGGGTGGGGGAGGCCTGGGGGCCTGGAGAGGAAAGGACTCACCTCAGTGTCCATCTGCCTGTCCTCTTCCACCTGTCTGTCCTTTGTGTCCAGGAATTCCCCAGACAGTGAGGAGGGAGGAGAGGCCATTTCTCTCCTAGGACTGGAGTGTTTCACCGGGGCATACGTCACTGCCTGGGGGTCTTCATCGTGTGGGCTCTGCTGGAGAGAGACAGTGGTGGGGGGTGTCCTTGAGTCCCCCTGACCTCCTGGAGTCAATTTTCCTCACTGTTCCCGGGGTGATCCGATTACATCCCTTTCCTGATGGAATCTCAGGGACGCCCTAAGGCCGTGGAGGGTCTGGCCGCTCCCTCCCTGTGGTTCTGGCCTCTGCTCCTCACTCTGACCTTGCCCATTTGGCTGCAGCCTCACAGGCCTTCCTGCAAGAGCTCGCTGCTGCCTGGGGGCCTTTGCACGGCTGTTTCCTCTGCCTGCAGGGGCTCGTCTATCAGAGGATCATGTGCCCCACTCTGTCCAGGCTTCTCAGATGACAGCTGAGCAGACAGCCCTCCCCTTCCATTCAGACTGGCCCCACTGCCCCACACTCTCTGCCCTTTCCCTGGTGTATGTTCCTTACAGCACGTTGCACTCCTGGACACGATGCATTTATTTGCATTTTGTCTCCCACCATGAGGTGAGCTCAGGAGGCGGGGGCGGCTTTGCTCCCTGCTGTGTCTGCAGCTCCCATGGGGAGCCCCATCCACAGTGAGCTCCCTGGGAACACTCGCTGGATGAATGAATGAAGAGGAGCCCAGGGGACGGAGGTGGTTCATTTATTCGTCATCCTCCTGAGGCCTGGGGAGAGCTCTAACAACCAGACGGCCAAACAGAGGATGAGGAGCAGGAAGGGGACCCGGGAGGAGGCCCACGAGGTCCCAGGACAGCAGAAGAGAGTGAGGTCACAGCAGGCGGGAGGCAGCATGCTGGACAAGGAGGGGTCCACCGTGACGATGCTGAGAGCCGGGGGAAGGAGGACAGAGAAGTCCTGCAGGATTAGATCTGGCACCAGGAGGCCTTTGGTGCCTGGGACGGGGCGGGATCTCACCTGACTGTCCAGCTCCACCCTGTCCTCAGACTGTGTGTCCTTCACGGCAGCATCTGCTGGGGCAGAGCAAGGGGTTCGTCTCCTGGTTCTCTGAGACCTCTCAGTCCTGCTGGCCCCCTGCCCTGCTCCCAGATGGGGCCACCGAATGCAGGGAGGTCCCACAGTGTGGGGCAAGACCATCTTCCACGGAGCCCCAGACCCTTCCCAGCCCCTCCCTGTTGCTACTGAAATTTTGGGACTCCTGTCTCTCCAGCACCCCCATTTGTCCCCTCTCTTCCTCTTACAGAGGTTTTCTTCCTGGACGTCAGCAGCTGGGCTGGACCTGGAGGAGGACATGGGAGTGTGAGGGGCAGTGTATGGGCTGTGGTGGGTGGGAGTCTGTGGTCTTTGGGGCAGAATTACCTCCTCAGCAGGCCCCTGTCCTTGGGCTCTGTCTCCGCAGCCCCTGCAGGACGCTGGAAATCAGTCTTTCTCTGGTCTGGGTGAAGATGGACAGAGTCTCAGCCCTGGGAACATTAGAACTCCCATTCTACACATGCAACTTGAGGGAAAGAAGGAAAACTAAAAATATTCCTGCATGGATGTTCCAAATATTTTATGAGATAGAAAAAAACTCCCATGAATACTGAAGTTTGTAAATGCGTATTGAAATTACGTGCCCCTGGAACCGGTTTTCTAAACTGACACCCCTGTGTGTTTGGGTTCCCTCTGGCTGGTGCCCTGAGCCCACCCTCGGTCGACCCATGGGTCCCCCGCTTCCCTACTCACCAGATGTCCTGTGTTTGCTGTGACGCTGACGTCGGAGGAGGAGGAAGAGGAGGAGGAAGAGCAGCAGGACGAAGGCCACCGAGACCCCAATCAAAACCTCCAGGTATCTTCCCAGACCTTGACATGAGGACGTCAGGAGTGGGAATGATGTCATTGATGTGAGCACCTACTGTGTGCAGGCGCGAGCCAGGTCTTTCCTTCGTGACCTCCAACCCTCACAAGCAGTCGTGCAACATGGAATTGCCACCCGTACAACCCATTTCACAGATGCACAAACTGAGGCTCAGAGCAGGGAGTCGCCTGCCCCAGGCCTCCAGCGAGGAAGCGGCAGAGCTGGGAAGGGAGCCCGGGAGTCTGACCTGCAGCCCTTGTTCCTGCACCAGAGCCGAGACCCGGAGCTGCAGGGAAAGAGCCTGACCGTCCTGAACCACGGCCCTGCTCCCCTCCCCTGCCCCAGGTCACCGTCACTGCTGCAGGTGGGACGGGACAGGCCCCTGTGGAATCGGGTCTGGGAGGTTCCCTGGGAGGCCTCCTCTCCCAGGAGGTCACAGCTGGGGGTCAGAGCTGAAAGGAACTTTCCCACCCACAGGCCTCTCTCCTTTACACTTGGAGAAACTGAGGCCCAGGCAGGGGAGGGGCCTGTCCACATCACCACCTCCAGAGGAGCCTGAACCTAGGACAGAACCCACCCCTGCCTCCCCTGGACCCCGCCCATCTCCCACTCAGAGCCCCTCACTCACGATTCTGAGGGCCTGACCCTGGGGGGTTAAGGGGCTGGTCCTCAGGACCTCCTGGGTCAGGACAGGGAGGTGAAGGCTGGGGCTGTCTTGCCCCCCACATCAGCCCGGCTCCTCCTCCTGGCTGGGCCCCAACATCTCCCTCTGCCTCGACCCCCCACTCTTCACCAGCCCAGCCTCAGAGCCCCTGGGACACAAGCCCGTCCTTGAGGGGAGGGGAGTGGGATCCTTTGGGAGACTCAGACTGCCCTGGGGGAGGCGGCGCTCCCCACGAGGCCTCAGTGACTCACCAGGTGTGGAGGGCGGCCCTGTGGGTGGGAGGCTGGAGCCTCCAGAGTGTCCTGGAAGGAGCACGGGAGGCGGGTGAGGGGCGGGGGCCGTCCATGGAGTGCACCCTTCCACTCCCACTCTCCTGCTTCCGCCCAGTGGATTCCCTGGAACCATCTCTCTGCCCACCTGGTGCCTTCTGCATGCCAGGCAGGGGAGAACGGGTGGCCACGCCTAGGAGAACCCCTGTTGGCCTCCTCCCCTCTGAGGGCTGGGTGCCCTCTGGCTAAGCCTCCCTCACAGCCTCCCTCGGTCCATCCCAGCCGAGAGCTCTCCTGGGGGCCTGGGCCTGAGCTGAGCCTTTGAGCTCAGAGAGGACGGGGTCAGCGCCCTCACCTGAGACCACGAGCTCCAGGGGCTCACTGGGGTGAGACAGCAGGTGGGGGTTGGAGCTGTATGAGCCGTAGCACCTGTAGGTCCCCGCGTGGGCTGAGGTCACAGGACTCATGGGGAATTC